>NC_000007.14:58556279-58756417 GCF_000001405.40 Homo sapiens
TAACTTTTTTGTGTTGTGTGTATTCAACTCACAGAGTTGAACCTTGCTTTAGAGAGAGCAGATTTGAAACACTCTTGCTGTGGCATTTTCAGGTGGAGATTTCAAGCGATTTGAGGACAATTGCAGAAAAGGAAATATCTTCGTATAACAACCAGACAGAATCATTCTCAGAAAGTGCTTTGTGATGTGTGCGTTCAACTCACAGAGTTTAACCTTTCTTTTCATAGAGGAGTTTGGAAACACACTGTTTGTAAAGTCTGCAATTGGATATATGGACCTGTTTGAGGCCTTCGTTGGAAACGGGATTTCTTCATTGAATGCTAGACGGAAGAATTCTCAGTAAATTCTTTGTGTTGTGTGCATTCAACTCACAGAGTGGAACGTCCCTTTAGACAGAGCAGATTTGAAACACTCTTTTTGCGGAATTTGCAAGTGGAGATTTCTAGCCATTTGATGCCAACAGTAGAAAGGGAAATATCTTCAAATAAAAACCAGACAGAATCATTCTCAGAAAATTCTTTGTGATGTGTGCGTTCAACTCACATAGTTTAACCTTTCTTTTCATAGAGCAGTTTGGAAACACTCTGTTTGTAAAGTCTGCAAGTGGATATATGGACCGCATTGAGGCCTTCGTTGGAAACGGGATTTCTTCATTTCATGCTAGACAGAAGAATTCTCAGTAAATTCTTTGTGTTGTGTGCATTCAACTCACAGAGTGGAACGTCCCTTTAGACAGAGCAGATTTGAAACACTCTTTTTGCGGAATTTGCAAGTGGAGATTTCTAGCCATTTGATGCCAACAGTAGAAAGGGAAATATCTTCAAATAAAAACCAGACAGAATCATTCTCAGAAAATTCTTTGTGATGTGTGCGTTCAACTCACATAGTTTAACCTTTCTTTTCATAGAGCAGTTTGGAAACACTCTGTTTGTAAAGTCTGCAAGTGGATATATGGACCGCATTGAGGCCTTCGTTGGAAACGGGATTTCTTCATTTCATGCTAGACAGAAGAATTCTCAGTGACTTCTTTGTGCTGTGTGTATTCAACTCACAGAGTGGAACGTCCCTTTACACAGAGCAGATTTGAAACACTCTTTTTGTGGAGTTTGCAAGTGGAGATTTCAAGCGATTTGATGCCAACAGTAGAAAAGGAAATATCTTCAAATAAAAACTAGACAGAATCATTCTCAGAAACTACTTTGTGATGTGTGCCTTCAACTCACAGAGTTTAACCTTTCTTTTCTTAGAGCAGTTTAGAAACACTCTGCTTGTTATGTCTGCAAGTGGATATTTGGACCTCTTTGAGGCCTTCGTTGCAAACGGGGTTTCTTCCTTTCATGCTAGACTAAGAAGAGTTCTCAGTAACTTTTTTGTGTTGTGTGTATTCAACTCACAGAGTTGAACCTTGCTTTAGAGAGAGCAGATTTGAAACACTCTTGCTGTGGCATTTTCAGGTGGAGATTTCAAGCGATTTGAGGACAATTGCAGAAAAGGAAATATCTTCGTATAATAACCAGACAGAATCATTCTCAGAAAGTGCTTTGTGATGTGTGCGTTCCACTCACAGAGTTTAACCTTTCTTTTCATAGAGGAGTTTGGAAACACACTGTTTGTAAAGTCTGCAAGTGGATATATGGACCTGTTTGAGGCCTTCGTTGGAAACGGGATTTCTTCATTGAATGCTAGACGGAAGAATTCTCAGTAAATTCTTTGTGTTGTGTGCATTCAACTCACAGAGTGGAACGTCCCTTTAGACAGAGCAGATTTGAAACACTCTTTTTGCGGAATTTGCAAGTGGAGATTTCTAGCCATTTGATGCCAACAGTAGAAAGGGAAATATTTTCAAATAAAAACCAGACAGAATCATTCTCAGAAAATTCTTTGTGATGTGTGCGTTCAACTCACATAGTTTAACCTTTCTTTTCATAGAGCAGTTTGGAAACACTCTGTTTGTAAAGTCTGCAAGTGGATATATGGACCGCATTGAGGCCTTCGTTGGAAACGGGATTTCTTCATTTCATGCTAGACAGAAGAATTCTCAGTAACTTCTTTGTGCTGTGTGTATTCAACTCACAGAGTGGAACGTCCCTTTACACAGAGCAGATTTGAAACACTCTTTTTGTGGAATTTGCAAGTGGAGATTTCAAGCGATTTGATGCCAACAGTAGAAAAGGAAATATCTTCAAATAAAAACTAGACAGAATCATTCTCAGAAACTACTTTGTGATGTGTGCCTTCAACTCACAGAGTTTAACCTTTCTTTTCTTAGAGCAGTTTAGAAACACTCTGCTTGTTATGTCTGCAAGTGGATATTTGGACCTCTTTGAGGCCTTCGTTGCAAACGGGGTTTCTTCCTTTCATGCTAGACTAAGAAGAGTTCTCAGTAACTTTTTTGTGTTGTGTGTATTCAACTCACAGAGCTGAACCTTGCTTTAGAGAGAGCAGATTTGAAACACTCTTGCTGTGGCATTTTCAGGTGGAGATTTCAAGCGATTTGAGGACAATTGCAGAAAAGGAAATATCTTCGTATAACAACCAGACAGAATCATTCTCAGAAAGTGCTTTGTGATGTGTGCGTTCAACTCACAGAGTTTAACCTTTCTTTTCATAGAGGAGTTTGGAAACACACTGTTTGTAAAGTCTGCAATTGGATATATGGACCTGTTTGAGGCCTTCGTTGGAAACGGGATTTCTTCATTGAATGCTAGACGGAAGAATTCTCAGTAAATACTTTGTGTTGTGTGCATTCAACTGACAGAGTGGAACGTCCCTTTAGACAGAGCAGATTTGAAACACTCTTTTTGCGGAATTTGCAAGTGGAGATTTCTAGCCATTTGATGCCAACAGTAGAAAGGGAAATATCTTCAAATAAAAACCAGACAGAATCATTCTCAGAAATTTCTTTGTGATGTGTGCGTTCAACTCACATAGTTTAACCTTTCTTTTCATAGAGCAGTTTGGAAACACTCTGTTTGTAAAGTCTGCAAGTGGATATATGGACCGCATTGAGGCCTTCGTTGGAAACGGGATTTCTTCATTTCATGCTAGACAGAAGAATTCTCAGTAACTTCTTTGTGCTGTGTGTATTCAACTCACAGAGTTGAACCTTGCTTTAGAGAGAGCAGATTTGAAACACTCTTGCTGTGGCATTTTCAGGTGGAGATTTCAAGCGATTTGAGGAAAATTGCAGAAAAGGGAATATCTTCGTATAATAACCAGACAGAATCATTCTCAGAAAGTGCTTTGTGATGTGTGCGTTCCACTCACAGAGTTTAACCTTTCTTTTCATAGAGGAGTTTGGAAACACACTGTTTGTAAACTCTGCAAGTGGATATATGGACCTGTTTGAGGCCTTCGTTGGAAACGGGATTTCTTCATTGAATGCTAGACGGAAGAATTCTCAGTAAATTCTTTGTGTTGTGTGCATTCAACTCACAGAGTGGAACGTCCCTTTAGACAGAGCAGATTTGAAACACTCTTTTTGCGGAATTTGCAAGTGGAGATTTCTAGCCATTTGATGCCAACAGTAGAAAGGGAAATATCTTCAAATAAAAACCAGACAGAATCATTCTCAGAAAATTCTTTGTGATGTGTGCGTTCAACTCACATAGTTTAACCTTTCTTTTCATAGAGCAGTTTGGAAACACTCTGTTTGTAAAGTCTGCAAGTGGATATATGGACCGCATTGAGGCCTTCGTTGGAAACGGGATTTCTTCATTTCATGCTAGACAGAAGAATTCTCAGTAACTTCTTTGTGCTGTGTGTATTCAACTCACAGAGTGGAACTTCCCTTTGCACAGAGCAGATTTGAAACACTCTTTTTGTGGAGTTTGCAAGTGGAGATTTCAAGCGATTTGATGCCAACAGTAGAAAAGGAAATATCTTCAAATAAAAACTAGACAGAATCATTCTCAGAAACTACTTTGTGATGTGTGCCTTCAACTCACAGAGTTTAACCTTTCTTTTCTTAGAGCAGTTTAGAAACACTCTGCTTGTTATGTCTGCAAGTGGATATTTGGACCTCTTTGAGGCCTTCGTTGCAAACGGGGTTTCTTCCTTTCATGCTAGACTAAGAAGAGTTCTCAGTAACTTTTTTGTGTTGTGTGTATTCAACTCACAGAGTTGAACCTTGCTTTAGAGAGAGCAGATTTGAAACACTCTTGCTGTGGCATTTTCAGGTGGAGATTTCAAGCGATTTGAGGACAATTGCAGAAAAGGAAATATCTTCGTATAATAACCAGACAGAATCATTCTCAGAAAGTGCTTTGTGATGTGTGCGTTCAACTCACAGAGTTTAACCTTTCTTTTCATAGAGGAGTTTGGAAACACACTGTTTGTAAAGTCTGCAAGTGGATATATGGACCTGTTTGAGGCCTTCGTTGGAAACGGGATTTCTTCATTGAATGCTAGACGGAAGAATTCTCAGTAAATTCTTTGTGTTGTGTGCATTCAACTCACAGAGTGGAACGTCCCTTTAGACAGAGCAGATTAGAAACACTCTTTTTGCGGAATTTGCAATTGGAGAATTCTAGCCATTTGATGCCAACGGTAGAAAGGGAAATATCTTCAAATAAAAACTAGACAGAATCATCCTCAGAAAATTCTTTGTGATGTGTGCGTTCAACTCACATAGTTTAACCTTTCTTTTCATAGAGCAGTTTGGAAACACTCTGTTTGTAAAGTCTGCAAGTGGATATATGGACCGCATTGAGGCCTTCGTTGGAAACGGGATTTCTTCATTTCATGCTAGACAGAAGAATTCTCAGTAACTTCTTTGTGCTGTGTGTATTCAACTCACAGAGTGGAACATCCCTTTGCACAGAGCAGATTTGAAACACTCTTTTTGTGGAGTTTGCAAGTGGAGATTTCAAGCGATTTGATGCCAACAGTAGAAAAGGAAATATCTTCAAATAAAAACTAGACAGAATCATTCTCAGAAACTACTTTGTGATGTGTGCCTTCAACTCACAGAGTTTAACCTTTCTTTTCTTAGAGCAGTTTAGAAACACTCTCCTTGTTATGTCTGCAAGTGGATATTTGGACCTCTTTGAGGCCTTCGTTGCAAACGGGGTTTCTTCCTTTCACGCTAGACTAAGAAGAGTTCTCAGTAACTTTTTTGTGTTGTGTGTATTCAACTCACAGAGTTGAACCTTGCTTTAGAGAGAGCAGATTTGAAACACTCTTGCTGTGGCATTTTCAGGTGGAGATATCAAGCGATTTGAGGACAATTGCAGAAAAGGAAATATCTTCGTATAATAACCAGACAGAATCATTCACAGAAAGTGCTTTGTGATGTGTGCGTTCAACTCACAGAGTTTAACCTTTCTTTTCATAGAGGAGTTTGGAAACACACTGTTTGTAACGTCTGCAAGTGGATATATGGACCTGTTTGAGGCCTTCGTTGGAAACGGGATTTCTTCATTGAATGCTAGACGGAAGAATTCTCAGTAAATTCTTTGTGTTGTGTGCATTCAACTCACACAGTGGAACGTCCCTTTAGACAGAGCAGATTTGAAACACTCTTTTTGCGGAAGTTGCAAGTGGAGATTTCTAGCCATTTGATGCCAACAGTAGAAAGGGAAATATCTTCAAATAAAAACTAGACAGAATCATTCTCAGAAAGTGCTTTGTGATGTGTGCGTTCAACTCACAGAGTTTAACCTTTCTTTTCATAGAGGAGTTTGGAAACACACTGTTTGTAAAGTCTGCAATTGGATATATGGACCTGTTTGAGGCCTTCGTTGGAAACGGGATTTCCTCATTGAATGCTAGACGGAAGAATTCTCAGTAAATTCTTTGTGTTGTGTGCATTCAACTGACAGAGTGGAACGTCCCTTAAGACAGAGCAGATTTGAAACACTCTTTTTGCGGAATTTGCAAGTGGAGATTTCTAGCCATTTGATGCCAACAGTAGAAAGGGAAATATCTTCAAATAAAAACCAGACAGAATCATTCTCAGAAAATTCTTTGTGATGTGTGCGTTCAACTCACATAGTTTAACCTTTCTTTTGATAGAGCAGTTTGGAAACACTCTGTTTGTAAAGTCTGCAAGTGGATATATGGACCGCATTGAGGCCTTCGTTGGAAACGGGATTTCTTCATTTCATGCTAGACAGAAGAATTCTCAGTAACTTCTTTGTGCTGTGTGTATTCAACTCACAGAGTGGAACGTCCCTTTGCACAGAGCAGATTTGAAACACTCTTTTTGTGGAGTTTGCAAGTGGAGATTTCAAGCGATTTGATGCCAACAGTAGAAAAGGAAATATCTTCAAATAAAAACTAGACAGAATCATTCTCAGAAACTACTTTGTGATGTGTGCCTTCAACTCACAGAGTTTAACCTTTCTTTTCTTAGAGCAGTTTAGAAACACTCTGCTTGTTATGTCTGCAAGTGGATATTTGGACCTCTTTGAGGCCTTCGTTGCAAACGGGGTTTCTTCCTTTAATGCTAGACTAAGAAGAGTTCTCAGTAACTTTTTTGTGTTGTGTGTATTCAACTCACAGAGTTGAACCTTGCTTTAGAGAGAGCAGATTTGAAACACTCTTGCTGTGGCATTTTCAGGTGGAGATTTCAAGCGATTTGAGGACAATTGCAGAAAAGGAAATATCTTCGTATAATAACCAGACAGAATCATTCTCAGAAAGTGCTTTGTGATGTGTGCGTTCCACTCACAGAGTTTAACCTTTCTTTTCATAGAGGAGTTTGGAAACACACTGTTTGTAAAGTCTGCAAGTGGATATATGGACCTGTTTGAGGCCTTCGTTGGAAACGGGATTTCTTCATTGAATGCTAGACGGAAGAATTCTCAGTAAATTCTTTGTGTTGTGTGCATTCAACTCACAGAGTGGAACGTCCCTTTAGACAGAGCAGATTTGAAACACTCTTTTTGCGGAATTTGCA
Source organism: Homo sapiens (assembly GCF_000001405.40). Classification (NCBI taxonomy): domain Eukaryota; kingdom Metazoa; phylum Chordata; class Mammalia; order Primates; family Hominidae; genus Homo; species Homo sapiens. The sequence goes on from NC_000007.14 coordinate 58,563,181, forward strand.
AGTGGAGATTTCTAGCCATTTGATGCCAACAGTAGAAAGGGAAATATCTTCAAATAAAAACCAGACAGAATCATTCTCAGAAAATTCTTTGTGATGTGTGCGTTCAACTCACATAGTTTAACCTTTCTTTTCATAGAGCAGTTTGGAAACACTCTGTTTGTAAAGTCTGCAAGTGGATATATGGACCGCATTGAGGCCTTCGTTGGAAACGGGATTTCTTCATTTCATGCTAGACAGAAGAATTCTCAGTAACTTCTTTGTGCTGTGTGTATTCAACTCACAGAGTGGAACGTCCCTTTACACAGAGCAGATTTGAAACACTCTTTTTGTGGAGTTTGCAAGTGGAGATTTCAAGCGATTTGATGCCAACAGTAGAAAAGGAAATATCTTCAAATAAAAACTAGACAGAATCATTCTCAGAAACTACTTTGTGATGTGTGCCTTCAACTCACAGAGTTTAACCTTTCTTTTCTTAGAGCAGTTTAGAAACACTCTGCTTGTTATGTCTGCAAGTGGATATTTGGACCTCTTTGAGGCCTTCGTTGCAAACGGGGTTTCTTCCTTTCATGCTAGACTAAGAAGAGTTCTCAGTAACTTTTTTGTGTTGTGTGTATTCAACTCACAGAGTTGAACCTTGCTTTAGAGAGAGCAGATTTGAAACACTCTTGCTGTGGCATTTTCAGGTGGAGATTTCAAGCGATTTGAGGACAATTGCAGAAAAGGAAATATCTTCGTATAATAACCAGACAGAATCATTCTCAGAAAGTGCTTTGTGATGTGTGCGTTCAACTCACAGAGTTTAACCTTTCTTTTCATAGAGGAGTTTGGAAACACACTGTTTGTAAAGTCTGCAATTGGATATATGGACCTGTTTGAGGCCTTCGTTGGAAACGGGATTTCTTCATTGAATGCTAGACGGAAGGATTCTCAGTAAATTCTTTGTGTTGTGTGCATTCAACTCACAGAGTGGAACGTCCCTTTAGACAGAGCAGATTTGAAACACTCTTTTTGCGGAATTTGCAAGTGGAGATTTCTAGCCATTTGATGCCAACAGTAGACAGGGAAACATCTTCAAATAAAAACCAGACAGAATCATTCTCAGAAAATTCTTTGTGATGTGTGCGTTCAACTCACATAGTTTAACCTTTCTTTTCATAGAGCAGTTTGGAAACACTCTGTTTGTAAAGTCTGCAAGTGGATATATGGACCGCATTGAGGCCTTCGTTGGAAACGGGATTTCTTCATTTCATACTAGACAGAAGAATTCTCAGTAACTTCTTTGTGCTGTGTGTATTCAACTCACAGAGTGGAACGTCCCTTTGCACAGAGCAGATTTGAAACACTCTTTTTGTGGAGTTTGCTAGTGGAGATTTCAAGCGATTTGATGCCAACAGTAGAAAAGGAAATATCTTCAAATAAAAACTAGACAGAATCATTCTCAGAAACTACTTTGTGATGTGTGCCTTCAACTCACAGAGTTTAACCTTTCTTTTCTTAGAGCAGTTTAGAAACACTCTGCTTGTTATGTCTGCAAGTGGATATTTGGACCTCTTTGAGGCCTTCGTTGCAAACGGGGTTTCTTCCTTTCATGCTAGACTAAGAAGAGTTCTCAGTAACTTTTTTGTGTTGTGTGTATTCAACTCACAGAGTTGAACCTTGCTTTAGAGAGAGCAGATTTGAAACACTCTTGCTGTGGCATTTTCAGGTGGAGATTTCAAGCGATTTGAGGACAATTGCAGAAAAGGAAATATCTTCGTATAATAACCAGACAGAATCATTCTCAGAAAGTGCTTTGTGATGTGTGCGTTCAACTCACAGAGTTTAACCTTTCTTTTCATAGAGGAGTTTGGAAACACACTGTTTGTAAAGTCTGCAATTGGATATATGGACCTGTTTGAGGCCTTCGTTGGAAACGGGATTTCTTCATTGAATGCTAGACGGAAGAATTCTCAGTAAATTCTTTGTGTTGTGTGCATTCAACTGACAGAGTGGAACGTCCCTTTAGACAGAGCAGATTTGAAACACTCTTTTTGCGGAATTTGCAAGTGGAGATTTCTAGCCATTTGATGCCAACAGTAGAAAGGGAAATATCTTCAAATAAAAACCAGACAGAATCATTCTCAGAAAATTCTTTGTGATGTGTGCGTTCAACTCACATAGTTTAACCTTTCTTTTCATAGAGCAGTTTGGAAACACTCTGTTTGTAAAGTCTGCAAGTGGATATATGGACCGCATTGAGGCCTTCGTTGGAAACGGGATTTCTTCATTTCATGCTAGACAGAAGAATTCTCAGTAACTTCTTTGTGCTGTGTGTATTCAACTCACAGAGTGGAACGTCCCTTTACACAGAGCAGATTTGAAACACTCTTTTTGTGGAGTTTGCAAGTGGAGATTTCAAGCGATTTGATGCCAACAGTAGAAAAGGAAATATCTTCAAATAAAAACTAGACAGAATCATTCTCAGAAACTACTTTGTGATGTGTGCCTTCAACTCACAGAGTTTAACCTTTCTTTTCTTAGAGCAGTTTAGAAACACTCTGCTTGTTATGTCTGCAAGTGGATATTTGGACCTCTTTGAGGCCTTCGTTGCAAACGGGGTTTCTTCCTTTCATGCTAGACTAAGAAGAGTTCTCAGTAACTTTTTTGTGTTGTGTGTATTCAACTCACAGAGTTGAACCTTGCTTTAGAGAGAGCAGATTTGAAACACTCTTGCTGTGGCATTTTCAGGTGGAGATTTCAAGCGATTTGAGGACAATTGCAGAAAAGGAAATATCTTCGTATAACAACCAGACAGAATCATTCTCAGAAAGTGCTTTGTGATGTGTGCGTTCAACTCACAGAGTTTAACCTTTCTTTTCATAGAGGAGTTTGGAAACACACTGTTTGTAAAGTCTGCAAGTGGATATATGGACCTGTTTGAGGCCTTCGTTGGAAACGGGATTTCTTCATTGAATGCTAGACGGAAGAATTCTCAGTAAATTCTTTGTGTTGTGTGCATTCAACTCACAGAGTGGAACGTCCCTTTAGACAGAGCAGATTTGAAACACTCTTTTTGCGGAATTTGCAAGTGGAGATTTCTAGCCATTTGATGCCAACAGTAGAAAGGGAAATATCTTCAAATAAAAACCAGACAGAATCATTCTCAGAAAATTCTTTGTGATGTGTGCGTTCAACTCACATAGTTTAACCTTTCTTTTCATAGAGCAGTTTGGAAACACTCTGTTTGTAAAGTCTGCAAGTGGATATATGGACCGCATTGAGGCCTTCGTTGGAAACGGGATTTCTTCATTTCATGCTAGACAGAAGAATTCTCAGTAACTTCTTTGTGCTGTGTGTATTCAACTCACAGAGTGGAACGTCCCTTTGCACAGAGCAGATTTGAAACACTCTTTTTGTGGAGTTTGCAAGTGGAGATTTCAAGCGATTTGATGCCAACAGTAGAAAAGGAAATATCTTCAAATAAAAACTAGACAGAATCATTCTCAAAAACTACTTTGTGATGTGTGCCTTCAACTCACAGAGTTTAACCTTTCTTTTCTTAGAGCAGTTTAGAAACACTCTGCTTGTTATGTCTGCAAGTGGATATTTGGACCTCTTTGAGGCCTTCGTTGCAAACGGGGTTTCTTCCTTTCATGCTAGACTAAGAAGAGTTCTCAGTAACTTTTTTGTGTTGTGTGTATTCAACTCACAGAGTTGAACCTTGCTTTAGAGAGAGCAGATTTGAAACACTCTTGCTGTGGCATTTTCAGGTGGAGATTTCAAGCGATTTGAGGACAATTGCAGAAAAGGAAATATCTTCGTATAATAACCAGACAAAATCATTCTCAGAAAGTGCTTTGTGATGTGTGCGTTCAACTCACAGAGTTTAACCTTTCTTTTCATAGAGGAGTTTGGAAACACACTGTTTGTAAAGTCTGCAATTGGATATATGGACCTGTTTGAGGCCTTCTTTGGAAACGGGATTTCTTCATTGAATGCTAGACGGAAGAATTCTCAGTAAATTCTTTGTGTTGTGTGCATTCAACTCACAGAGTGGAACGTCCCTTTAGACAGAGCAGATTTGAAACACTCTTTTTGCGGAATTTGCAAGTGGAGATTTCTAGCCATTTGATGCCAACAGTAGAAAGGGAAATATCTTCAAATAAAAACCAGACAGAATCATTCTCAGAAAATTCTTTGTGATGTGTGCGTTCAACTCACATAGTTTAACCTTTCTTTTCATAGAGCAGTTTGGAAACACTCTGTTTGTAAAGTCTGCAAGTGGATATATGGACCGCATTGAGGCCTTCGTTGGAAACGGGATTTCTTCATTTCATGCTAGACAGAAGAATTCTCAGTAACTTCTTTGTGCTGTGTGTATTCAACTCACAGAGTGGAACGTTCCTTTACACAGAGCAGATTTGAAACACTCTTTTTGTGGAATTTGCAAGTGGAGATTTCAAGCGATTTGATGCCAACAGTAGAAAAGGAAATATCTTCAAATAAAAACTAGACGGAATCATTCTCAGAAACTACTTTGTGATGTGTGCCTTCAACTCACAGAGTTTAACCTTTCTTTTCTTAGAGCAGTTTAGAAACACTCTGCTTGTTATGTCTGCAAGTGGATATTTGGACCTCTTTGAGGCCTTCATTGCAAACGGGGTTTCTTCCTTTAATGCTAGACTAAGAAGAATTCTCAGTAACTTCTTTGTGCTGTGTGTATTCAACTCACAGAGTTGAACCTTGCTTTAGAGAGAGCAGATTTGAAACACTCTTGCTGTGGCATTTTCAGGTGGAGATTTCAAGCGATTTGAGGAAAATTGCAGAAAAGGGAATATCTTCGTATAATAACCAGACAGAATCATTCTCAGAAAGTGCTTTGTGATGTGTGCGTTCCACTCACAGAGTTTAACCTTTCTTTTCATAGAGGAGTTTGGAAACACACTGTTTGTAAACTCTGCAAGTGGATATATGGACCTGTTTGAGGCCTTCGTTGGAAACGGGATTTCTTCATTGAATGCTAGACGGAAGAATTCTCAGTAAATTCTTTGTGTGGTGTGCATTCAACTCACAGAGTGGAACGTCCCTTTAGACAGAGCAGATTTGAAACACTCTTTTTGCGGAATTTGCAAGTGGAGATTTCTAGCCATTTGATGCCAACAGTAGAAAGGGAAATATCTTCAAATAAAAACCAGACAGAATCATTCTCAGAAAATTCTTTGTGATGTGTGCGTTCAACTCACATAGTTTAACCTTTCTTTTCATAGAGCAGTTTGGAAACACTCTGTTTGTAAAGTCTGCAAGTGGATATATGGACCGCATTGAGGCCTTCGTTGGAAACGGGATTTCTTCATTTCATGCTAGACAGAAGAATTCTCAGTAACTGCTTTGTGCTGTGTGTATTCAACTCACAGAGTGGAACGTCCCTTTACACAGAGCAGATTTGAAACACTCTTTTTGTGGAATTTGCAAGTGGAGATTTCAAGCGATTTGATGCCAACAGTAGAAAAGGAAATATCTTCAAATAAAAACTAGACAGAATCATTCTCAGAAACTACTTTGTGATGTGTGCCTTCAACTCACAGAGTTTAACCTTTCTTTTCTTAGAGCAGTTTAGAAACACTCTGCTTGTTATGTCTGCAAGTGGATATTTGGACCTCTTTGAGGCCTTCGTTGCAAACGGGGTTTCTTCCTTTCATGCTAGACTAAGAAGAGTTCTCAGTAACTTTTTTGTGTTGTGTGTATTCAACTCACAGAGTTGAACCTTGCTTTAGAGAGAGCAGATTTGAAACACTCTTGCTGTGGCATTTTCAGGTGGAGATTTCAAGCGATTTGAGGACAATTACAGAAAAGGAAATATCTTCGTATAACAACCAGACAGAATCATTCTCAGAAAGTGCTTTGTGATGTGTGCGTTCCACTCACAGAGTTTAACCTTTCTTTTCATAGAGGAGTTTGGAAACACACTGTTTGTAAAGTCTGCAAGTGGATATATGGACCTGTTTGAGGCCTTCGTTGGAAACGGGATTTCTTCATTGACTGCTAGACGGAAGAATTCTCAGTAAATTCTTTGTGTGGTGTGCATTCAACTCACAGAGTGGAACGTCCCTTTAGACAGAGCAGATTTGAAACACTCTTTTTGCGGAATTTGCAAGTGGAGATTTCTAGCCATTTGATGCCAACAGTAGAAAGGGAAATATCTTCAAATAAAAACCAGACAGAATCATTCTCAGAAAATTCTTTGTGATGTGTGCGTTCAACTCACATAGTTTAACCTTTCTTTTCATAGAGCAGTTTGGAAACACTCTGTTTGTAAAGTCTGCAAGTGGATATATGGACCGCATTGAGGCCTTCGTTGGAAACGGGATTTCTTCATTTCATGCTAGACAGAAGAATTCTCAGTAACTTCTTTGTGCTGTGTGTATTCAACTCACAGAGTGGAACGTCCCTTTGCACAGAGCAGATTTGAAACACTCTTTTTGTGGAATTTGCAAGTGGAGATTTCAAGCGATTTGATGCCAACAGTAGAAAAGGAAATATCTTCAAATAAAAACTAGACAGAATCATTCTCAGAAACTACTTTGTGATGTGTGCCTTCAACTCACAGAGTTTAACCTTTCTTTTCTTAGAGCAGTTTAGAAACACTCTGCTTGTTATGTCTGCAAGTGGTTATTTGGACCTCTTTGAGGCCTTCGTTGCAAACGGGGAGTCTTCCTTTCATGCTAGACTAAGAAGAGTTCTCAGTAACTTTTTTGTGTTGTGTGTATTCAACTCACAGAGTTGAACCTTGCTTTAGAGAGAGCAGATTTGAAACACTCTTGCTGTGGCATTTTCAGGTGGAGATTTCAAGCGATTTGAGGACAATTGCAGAAAAGGAAATATCTTCGTATAATAACCAGACAGAATCATTCTCAGAAAGTGCTTTGTGATGTGTGCGTTCCACTCACAGAGTTTAACCTTTCTTTTCATAGAGGAGTTTGGAAACACACTGTTTGTAAAGTCTGCAAGTGGATATATGGACCTGTTTGAGGCCTTCGTTGGAAACGGGATTTCTTCATTGAATGCTAGACGGAAGAATTCTCAGTAAATTCTTTGTGTTGTGTGCATTCAACTCACAGAGTGGAACGTCCCTTTAGACAGAGCAGATTTGAAACACTCTTTTTGCGGAATTTGCAAGTGGAGATTTCTAGCCATTTGATGCCAACAGTAGAAAGGGAAATATCTTCAAATAAAAACCAGACAGAATCATTCTCAGAAAATTCTTTGTGATGTGTGCGTTCAACTCACATAGTTTAACCTTTCTTTTCATAGAGCAGTTTGGAAACACTCTGTTTGTAAAGTCTGCAAGTGGATATATGGACCGCATTGAGGCCTTCGTTGGAAACGGGATTTCTTCATTTCATGCTAGACAGAAGAATTCTCAGTAACTTCTTTGTGCTGTGTGTATTCAACTCACAGAGTGGAACGTCCCTTTACACAGAGCAGATTTGAAACACTCTTTTTGTGGAGTTTGCAAGTGGAGATTTCAAGCGATTTGATGCCAACAGTAGAAAAGGAAATATCTTCAAATAAAAACTAGACAGAATCATTCTCAGAAACTACTTTGTGATGTGTGCCTTCAACTCACAGAGTTTAACCTTTCTTTTCTTAGAGCAGTTTAGAAACACTCTGCTTGTTATGTCTGCAAGTGGATATTTGGACCTCTTTGAGGCCTTCGTTGCAAACGGGGTTTCTTCCTTTCATGCTAGACTAAGAAGAGTTCTCAGTAACTTTTCTGTGTTGTGTGTATTCAACTCACAGAGTTGAACCTTGCTTTAGAGAGAGCAGATTTGAAACACTCTTGCTGTGGCATTTTCAGGTGGAGATTTCAATCGTTTTGAGGACAATTGCAGAAAAGGAAATATCTTCGTATAATAACCAGACAGAATCATTCTCAGAAAGTGCTTTGTGATGTGTGCGTTCCACTCACAGAGTTTAACCTTTCTTTTCATAGAGGAGTTTGGAAACACACTGTTTGTAAACTCTGCAAGTGGATATATGGACCTGTTTGAGGCCTTCGTTGGAAACGGGATTTCTTCATTGAATGCTAGACGGAAGAATTCTCAGTAAATTCTTTGTGTTGTGTGCATTCAACTCACAGAGTGGAACGTCCCTTTAGACAGAGCAGATTTGAAACACTCTTTTTGCGGAATTTGCAAGTGGAGATTTCTAGCCATTTGATGCCAACAGTAGAAAGGGAAATATCTTCAAATAAAAACCAGACAGAATCATTCTCAGAAAATTCTTTGTGATGTGTGCGTTCAACTCACATAGTTTAACCTTTCTTTTCATAGAGCAGTTTGGAAACACTCTGTTTGTAAAGTCTGCAAGTGGATATATGGACCGCATTGAGGCCTTCGTTGGAAACGGGATTTCTTCATTTCATGCTAGACAGAAGAATTCTCAGTAACTTCTTTGTGCTGTGTGTATTCAACTCACAGAGTGGAACGTCCCTTTGCACAGAGCAGATTTGAAACACTCTTTTTGTGGAGTTTGCAATTGGAGATTTCAAGCGATTTGATGCCAACAGTAGAAAAGGAAATATCTTCAAATAAAAACTAGACAGAATCATTCTCAGAAACTACTTTGTGATGTGTGCCTTCAACTCACAGAGTTTAACCTTTCTTTTCTTAGAGCAGTTTAGAAACACTCTGCTTGTTATGTCTGCAAGTGGATATTTGGACCTCTTTGAGGCCTTCGTTGCAAACGGGGTTTCTTCCTTTCATGCTAGACTAAGAAGAGTTCTCAGTAACTTTTTTGTGTTGTGTGTATTCAACTCACACAGTTGAACCTTGCTTTAGAGAGAGCAGATTTGAAACACTCTTGCTGTGGCATTTTCAGGTGGAGATTTCAAGCGATTTGAGGACAATTGCAGAAAAGGAAATATCTTCGTATAACAACCAGACAGAATCATTCTCAGAAAGTGCTTTGTGATGTGTGCGTTCAACTCACAGAGTTTAACCTTTCTTTTCATAGAGGAGTTTGGAAACACACTGTTTGTAAAGTCTGCAATTGGATATATGGACCTGTTTGAGGCCTTCGTTGGAAACGGGATTTCTTCATTGAATGCTAGACGGAAGAATTCTCAGTAAATTCTTTGTGTGGTGTGCATTCAACTCACAGAGTGGAACGTCCCTTTAGACAGAGCAGATTTGAAACACTCTTTTTGCGGAATTTGCAAGTGGAGATTTCTAGCCATTTGATGCCAACAGTAGAAAGGGAAATATCTTCAAATAAAAACCAGACAGAATCATTCTCAGAAAATTCTTTGTGATGTGTGCGTTCAACTCACATAGTTTAACCTTTCTTTTCATAGAGCAGTTTGGAAACACTCTGTTTGTAAAGTCTGCAAGTGGATATATGGACCGCATTGAGGCCTTCGTTGGAAACGGGATTTCTTCATTTCATGCTAGACAGAAGAATTCTCAGTAACTTCTTTGTGCTGTGTGTATTCAACTCACAGAGTGGAACGTCCCTTTGCACAGAGCAGATTTGAAACACTCTTTTTGTGGAGTTTGCAAGTGGAGATTTCAAGCGATTTGATGCCAACAGTAGAAAAGGAAATATCTTCAAATAAAAACTAGACAGAATCATTCTCAGAAAATTCTTTGTGATGTGTGCGTTCAACTCACATAGTTTAACCTTTCTTTTCTTAGAGCAGTTTAGAAACACTCTGCTTGTTATGTCTGCAAGTGGATATTTGGACCTCTTTGAGGCCTTCGTTGCAAACGGGGTTTCTTCCTTTCATGCTAGACTAAGAAGAGTTCTCAGTAACTTTTTTGTGTTGTGTGTATTCAACTCACAGAGTTGAACCTTGCTTTAGAGAGAGCAGATTTGAAACACTCTTGCTGTGGCATTTTCAGGTGGAGATTTCAAGCGATTTGAGGACAATTGCAGAAAAGGAAATATCTTCGTATAACAACCAGACAGAATCATTCTCAGAAAGTGCTTTGTGATGTGTGGGTTCAACTCACAGAGTTTAACCTTTCTTTTCATAGAGGAGTTTGGAAACACACTGTTTGTAAAGTCTGCAATTGGATATATGGACCTGTTTGAGGCCTTCGTTGGAAACGGGATTTCTTCATTGACTGCTAGACAGAAGAATTCTCAGTAAATTCTTTGTGTTGTGTGCATTCAACTCACAGAGTGGAACGTCCCTTTAGACAGAGCAGATTTGAAACACTCTTTTTGCGGAATTTGCAAGTGGAGATTTCTAGCCATTTGATGCCAACAGTAGAAAGGGAAATATCTTCAAATAAAAACCAGACAGAATCATTCTCAGAAAATTCTTTGTGATGTGTGCGTTCAACTCACATAGTTTAACCTTTCTTTTCATAGAGCAGTTTGGAAACACTCTGTTTGTAAAGTCTGCAAGTGGATATATGGACCGCATTGAGGCCTTCGTTGGAAACGGGATTTCTTCATTTCATGCTAGACAGAAGAATTCTCAGTAACTTCTTTGTGCTGTGTGTATTCAACTCACAGAGTGGAACGTCCCTTTGCACAGAGCAGATTTGAAACACTCTTTTTGTGGAGTTTGCAAGTGGAGATTTCAAGCGATTTGATGCCAACAGTAGAAAAGGAAATATCTTCAAATAAAAACTAGACAGAATCATTCTCAGAAACTACTTTGTGATGTGTGCCTTCAACTCACAGAGTTTAACCTTTCTTTTCTTAGAGCAGTTTAGAAACACTCTGCTTGTTATGTCTGCAAGTGGATATTTGGACCTCTTTGAGGCCTTCGTTGCAAACGGGGTTTCTTCCTTTCATGCTAGACTAAGAAGAGTTCTCAGTAACTTTTTTGTGTTGTGTGTATTCAACTCACAGAGTTGAACCATGCTTTAGAGAGAGCAGATTTGAAACACTCTTGCTGTGGCATTTTCAGTTGGAGATTTCAAGCGATTTGAGGACAATTGCAGAAAAGGAAATATCTTCGTATAACAACCAGACAGAATCATTCTCAGAAAGTGCTTTGTGATGTGTGCGTTCAACTCACAGAGTTTAACCTTTCTTTTCATAGAGGAGTTTGGAAACACACTGTTTGTAAAGTCTGCAATTGGATATATGGACCTGTTTGAGGCCTTCGTTGGAAACGGGATTTCTTCATTGAATGCTAGACGGAAGAAATCTCAGTAAATTCTTTGTGTTGTGTGCATTCAACTCACAGAGTGGAACGTCCCTTTAGACAGAGCAGATTTGAAACACTCTTTTTGCGGAATTTGCAAGTGGAGATTTCTAGCCATTTGATGCCAACAGTAGAAAGGGAAATATCTTCAAATAAAAACCAGACAGAATCATTCTCAGAAAATTCTTTGTGATGTGTGCGTTCAACTCACATAGTTTAACCTTTCTTTTCATAGAGCAGTTTGGAAACACTCTGTTTGTAAAGTCTGCAAGTGGATATATGGACCGCATTGAGGCCTTCGTTGGAAACGGGATTTCTTCATTTCATGCTAGACAGAAGAATTCTCAGTAACTTCTTTGTGCTGTGTGTATTCAACTCACAGAGTGGAACGTCCCTTTACACAGAGCAGATTTGAAACACTCTTTTTGTGGAGTTTGCAAGTGGAGATTTCAAGCGATTTGATGCCAACAGTAGAAAAGGAAATATCTTCAAATAAAAACTAGACAGAATCATTCTCAGAAACTACTTTGTGATGTGTGCCTTTAACTCACAGAGTTTAACCTTTCTTTTCTTAGAGCAGTTTAGAAACACTCTGCTTGTTATGTCTGCAAGTGGATATTTGGACCTCTTTGAGGCCTTCGTTGCAAACGGGGTTTCTTCCTTTAATGCTAGACTAAGAAGAGTTCTCAGTAACTTTTTTGTGTTGTGTGTATTCAACTCACAGAGTTGAACCTTGCTTTAGAGAGAGCAGATTTGAAACACTCTCGCTGTGGAATTTTCAGGTGGAGATTTCAAGCGATTTGAGGACAATTGCAGAAAAGGAAATATCTTCGTATAATTACCAGACAGAATCATTCTCAGAAAGTGCTTTGGGTTGTGTGCGTTCAACTCACAGAGTTTAACCTTTCTTTTCATAGAGGAGTTTGGAAACACACTGTTTGTAAAGTCTGCAATTGGATATATGGACCTGTTTGAGGCCTCCGTTGGAAACGGGATTTCTTCATTGAATGCTAGACGGAAGAATTCTCAGTAAATTCTTTGTGTTGTGTGCATTCAACTCACAGAGTGGAACGTCCCTTTAGACAGAGCAGATTTGAAACTCTCTTTTTGCGGAATTTGCAAGTGGAGATTTCTAGCCATTTGATGCCAACAGTAGAAAGGGAAATATCTTCAAATAAAAACCAGACAGAAATCATTCTCAGAAAATTCTTTGTGATGTGTGCGTTCAACTCACATAGTTTAACCTTTCTTTTCATAGAGCAGTTTGGAAACACTCTGTTTGTAAAGTCTGCAAGTGGATATATGGACCGCATTGAGGCCTTCGTTGGAAACGGGATTTCTTCATTTCATGCTAGACCGAAGAATTCTCAGTAACTTCTTTGTGCTGTGTGTATTCAACTCACAGAGTGGAACGTCCCTTTACACAGAGCAGATTTGAAACACTCTTTTTGTGGAGTTTGCAAGTGGAGATTTCAAGCGATTTGATGCCAACAGTAGAAAAGGAAATATCTTCAAATAAAAACTAGACAGAATCATTCTCAGAAACTACTTTGTGATGTGTGCCTTCAACTCACAGAGTTTAACCTTTCTTTTCTTAGAGCAGTTTAGAAACACTCTGCTTGTTATGTCTGCAAGTGGATATTTGGACCTCTTTGAGGCCTTCGTTGCAAACGGGGTTTCTTCCTTTAATGCTAGACTAAGAAGAGTTCTCAGTAACTTTTTTGTGTTGTGTGTATTCAACTCACAGAGTTGAACCTTGCTTTAGAGAGAGCAGATTTGAAACACTCTTGCTGTGGCATTTTCAGGTGGAGATTTCAAGCGATTTGAGGACAATTGCAGAAAAGGAAATATCTTCGTATAACAACCAGACAGAATCATTCTCAGAAAGTGCTTTGTGATGTGTGCGTTCAACTCACAGAGTTTAACCTTTCTTTTCATTGAGGAGTTTGGAAACACACTGTTTGTAAAGTCTGCAAATGGATATATGGACCTGTTTGAGGCCTTCGTTGGAAACGGGATTTCTTCATTGAATGCTAGACGGAAGAATTCTCAGTAAATTCTTTGTGTTGTGGGCATTCAACTGACAGAGTGGAACGTCCCTTAAGACAGAGCAGATTTGAAACACTCTTTTTGCGGAATTTGCAAGTGGAGATTTCTAGCCATTTGATGCCAACAGTAGAAAGGGAAATATCTTCAAATAAAAACCAGACAGAATCATTCTCAGAAAATTCTTTGTGATGTGTGCGTTCAACTCACATAGTTTAACCTTTCTTTTCATAGAGCAGTTTGGAAACACTCTGTTTGTAAAGTCTGCAAGTGGATATATGGACCGCATTGAGGCCTTCGTTGGAAACGGGATTTCTTCATTTCATGCTAGACAGAAGAATTCTCAGTAACTTCTTTGTGCTGTGTGTATTCAACTCACAGAGTGGAACGTCCCTTTGCACAGAGCAGATTTGAAACACTCTTTTTGTGGAGTTTGCAAGTGGAGATTTCAAGCGATTTGATGCCAACAGTAGAAAAGGAAATATCTTCAAATAAAAACTAGACAGAATCATTCTCAGAAACTACTTTGTGATGTGTGCCTTCAACTCACAGAGTTTAACCTTTCTTTTCTTAGAGCAGTTTAGAAACACTCTGCTTGTTATGTCTGCAAGTGGATATTTGGACCTCTTTGAGGCCTTCGTTGCAAACGGGGTTTCTTCCTTTCATGCTAGACTAAGAAGAGTTCTCAGTAACTTTTTTGTGTTGTGTGTATTCAACTCACAGAGTTGAACCTTGCTTTAGAGAGAGCAGATTTGAAACACTCTTGCTGTGGTATTTTCAGGTGGAGATTTCAAGCGATTTGAGGACAATTGCAGAAAAGGAAATATCTTCGTATAACAACCAGACAGAATCATTCTCAGAAAGTGCTTTGTGATGTGTGCGTTCCACTCACAGAGTTTAACCTTTCTTTTCATAGAGGAGTTTGGAAACACACTGTTTGTAAAGTCTGCAAGTGGATATATGGACCTGTTTGAGGCCTTCGTTGGAAACGGGATTTCTTCATTGAATGCTAGACGGAAGAATTCTCAGTAAATTCTTTGTGTTGTGTGCATTCAACTCACAGAGTGGAACGTCCCTTTAGACAGAGCAGATTTGAAACACTCTTTTTGCGGAATTTGCAAGTGGAGATTTCTAGCCATTTGATGCCAACAGTAGAAAGGGAAATATCTTCAAATAAAAACCAGACAGAATCATTCTCAGAAAATTCTTTGTGATGTGTGCGTTCAACTCACATAGTTTAACCTTTCTTTTCATAGAGCAGTTTGGAAACACTCTGTTTGTAAAGTCTGCAAGTGGATATATGGACCGCATTGAGGCCTTCGTTGGAAACGGGATTTCTTCATTTCATGCTAGACAGAAGAATTCTCAGTAACTTCTTTGTGCTGTGTGTATTCAACTCACAGAGTGGAACGTCCCTTTGCACAGAGCAGATTTGAAACACTCTTTTTGTGGAATTTGCAAGTGGAGATTTCAAGCGATTTGATGCCAACAGTAGAAAAGGAAATATCTTCAAATAAAAACTAGACAGAATCATTCTCAGAAACTACTTTGTGATGTGTGCCTTCAACTCACAGAGTTTAACCTTTCTTTTCTTAGAGCAGTTTAGAAACACTCTGCTTGTTATGTCTGCAAGTGGATATTTGGACCTCTTTGAGGCCTTCGTTGCAAACGGGGTTTCTTCCTTTCATGCTAGACTAAGAAGAATTCTCAGTAACTTCTTTGTGTTGTGTGTATTCAACTCACAAATTGGAACGGACCTTTACACAGAGCAGATTTGAAGCACTCTTTTTGTGGAATTTGCAAGTGGAGATTTCAAGCGATTTGATGCCAACAGTAGAAAAGGAAATATCTTCAAATAAAAACTAGACAGAATCATTCTGAGAAAGTGCTTTGTGATGTGTGCGTTCAGCTCACATAGTTTAACCTTTCTTTCAATAGAGCAGTTTCGAAACACAATGTTTGTAAAATCTACAAGTGGATATATGGACCGCTATGAGGCATTCGTAGGAAACGGGATTTCTTCATTTCATGCTAGACAGAAGAATTCTCAGTAAATTCTTTGTGTTGTGTGCATTCAACTCACAGAGTGGAACGTCGCTTTACACAGAGCAGATTTGAAACACTCTTTTTGCGGAATTTGCAAGTGGAGATTTCTAGCCATTTGATGCCAACGGTAGAAAGGGAAATATCTTCAAATAAAAACTAGACAGAATCATTCTCAGAAAATTCTTTGTGATGTGTGCGTTCAACTCACATAGTTTAACCTTTCTTTTCATAGAGCAGTTTGGAAACACTCTGTTTGTAAAGTCTGCAAGTGGATATATGGACCGCATTGAGGCCTTCGTTGGAAACGGGATTTCTTCATTTCATGCTAGACAGAAGAATTCTCAGTAACTTCTTTGTGCTGTGTGTATTCAACTCACAGAGTGGAACGTCCCTTTGCACAGAGCAGATTTGAAACACTCTTTTTGTGGAATTTGCAAGTGGAGATTTCAAGCGATTTGATGCCAACAGTAGAAAAGGAAATATCTTCAAATAAAAACTAGACAGAATCATTCTCAGAAACTACTTTGTGATGTGTGCCTTCAACTCACAGAGTTTAACCTTTCTTTTCTTAGAGCAGTTTAGAAACACTCTGCTTGTTATGTCTGCAAGTGGATATTTGGACCTCTTTGAGGCCTTCGTTGCAAACGGGGTTTCTTCCTTTAATGCTAGACTAAGAAGAGTTCTCAGTAACTTTTTTGTGTTGTGTGTATTCAACTCACAGAGTTGAACCTTGCTTTAGAGAGAGCAGATTTGAAACACTCTTGCTGTGGCATTTTCAGGTGGAGATTTCAAGCGATTTGAGGACAATTGCAGAAAAGGAAATATCTTCGTATAACAACCAGACAGAATCATTCTCAGAAAGTGCTTTGTGATGTGTGCGTTCAACTCACAGAGTTTAACCTTTCTTTTCATTGAGGAGTTTGGAAACACACTGTTTGTAAAGTCTGCAATTGGATATATGGACCTGTTTGAGGCCTTCGTTGGAAACGGGATTTCTTCATTGAATGCTAGACGGAAGAATTCTCAGTAAATTCTTTGTGTTGTGTGCATTCAACTGACAGAGTGGAACGTCCCTTTAGACAGAGCAGATTTGAAACACTCTTTTTGCGGAATTTGCAAGTGGAGATTTCTAGCCATTTGATGCCAACAGTAGAAAGGGAAATATCTTCAAATAAAAACCAGACAGAATCATTCTCAGAAAATTCTTTGTGATGTGTGCGTTCAACTCACATAGTTTAACCTTTCTTTTCATAGAGCAGTTTGGAAACACTCTGTTTGTAAAGTCTGCAAGTGGATATATGGACCGCATTGAGGCCTTCGTTGGAAACGGGATTTCTTCATTTCATGCTAGACAGAAGAATTCTCAGTAACTTCTTTGTGCTGTGTGTATTCAACTCACAGAGTGGAACGTCCCTTTACACAGAGCAGATTTGAAACACTCTTTTTGTGGAGTTTGCAAGTGGAGATTTCAAGCGATTTGATGCCAACAGTAGAAAAGGAAATATCTTCAAATAAAAACTAGACAGAATCATTCTCAGAAACTACTTTGTGATGTGTGCCTTCAACTCACAGAGTTTAACCTTTCTTTTCTTAGAGCAGTTTAGAAACACTCTGCTTGTTATGTCTGCAAGTGGATATTTGGACCTCTTTGAGGCCTTCGTTGCAAACGGGGTTTCTTCCTTTAATGCTAGACTAAGAAGAGTTCTCAGTAACATTTTTGTGTTGTGTGTATTCAACTCACAGAGTTGAACCTTGCTTTAGAGAGAGCAGATTTGAAACACTCTTGCTGTGGCATTTTCAGGTGGAGATTTCAAGCGATTTGAGGACAATTGCAGAAAAGGAAATATCTTCGTATAACAACCAGACAGAATCATTCTCAGAAAGTGCTTTGTGATGTGTGCGTTCAACTCACAGAGTTTAACCTTTCTTTTCATAGAGGAGTTTGGAAACACACTGTTTGTAAAGTCTGCAATTGGATATATGGACCTGTTTGAGGCCTTCGTTGGAAACGGGATTTCTTCATTGCATGCTAGACGGAAGAATTCTCAGTAAATTCTTTGTGTTGTGTGCATTCAACTCACAGAGTGGAACGTCCCTTTAGACAGAGCAGATTTGAAACACTCTTTTTGCGGAATTTGCAAGTGGAGATTTCTAGCCATTTGATGCCAACAGTAGAAAGGGAAATATCTTCAAATAAAAACCAGACAGAATCATTCTCAGAAAATTCTTTGTGATGTGTGCGTTCAACTCACATAGTTTAACCTTTCTTTTCATAGAGCAGTTTGGAAACACTCTGTTTGTAAAGTCTGCAAGTGGATATATGGACCGCATTGAGGCCTTCGTTGGAAACGGGATTTCTTCATTTCATGCTAGACAGAAGAATTCTCAGTAACTTCTTTGTGCTGTGTGTATTCAACTCACAGAGTGGAACGTCCCTTTGCACAGAGCAGATTTGAAACACTCTTTTTGTGGAATTTGCAAGTGGAGATTTCAAGCGATTTGATGCCAACAGTAGAAAAGGAAATATCTTCAAATAAAAACTAGACAGAATCATTCTCAGAAACTACTTTGTGATGTGTGCCTTCAACTCACAGAGTTTAACCTTTCTTTTCTTAGAGCAGTTTAGAAACACTCTGCTTGTTATGTCTGCAAGTGGATATTTGGACCTCTTTGAGGCCTTCGTTGCAAACGGGGTTTCTTCCTTTAATGCTAGACTAAGAAGAGTTCTCAGTAACTTTTTTGTGTTGTGTGTATTCAACTCACAGAGTTGAACCTTGCTTTAGAGAGAGCAGATTTGAAACACTCTTGCTGTGACATTTTCAGGTGGAGATTTCAAGCGATTTGAGGACAATTGCAGAAAAGGAAAATATCTTCGTATAATAACCAGACAGAAATCATTCTCCGAAAGTGCTTTGTGATGTGTGCGTTCAACTCACAGAGTTTAACCTTTCTTTTCATAGAGGAGTTTCGAAACACACTGTTTGTAAAGTCTGCAATTGGATATATGGACCTGTTTGAGGCCTTCGTTGGAAACGGGATTTCTTCATTGAATGCTAGACGGAAGAATTCTCAGTAAATTCTTTGTGTTTTGTGCATTCAACTCACAGAGTGGAACGTCCCTTTAGACAGAGCAGATTTGAAACACTCTTTTTGCGGAATTTGCAAGTGGAGATTTCTAGCCATTTGATGCCAACAGTAGAAAGGGAAATATCTTCAAATAAAAACCAGACAGAATCATTCTCAGAAAATTCTTTGTGATGTGTGCGTTCAACTCACATAGTTTAACCTTTCTTTTCATAGAGCAGTTTGGAAACACTCTGTTTGTAAAGTCTGCAAGTGGATATATGGACCGCATTGAGGCCTTCGTTGGAAACGGGATTTCTTCATTTCATGCTAGACAGAAGAATTCTCAGTAACTTCTTTGTGCTGTGTGTATTCAACTCACAGAGTGGAACGTCCCTTTGCACAGAGCAGATTTGAAACACTCTTTTTGTGGAATTTGCAAGTGGAGATTTCAAGCGATTTGATGCCAACAGTAGAAAAGGAAATATCTTCAAATAAAAACTAGACAGAATCATTCTCAGAAACTACTTTGTGATGTGTGCCTTCAACTCACAGAGTTTAACCTTTCTTTTCTTAGAGCAGTTTAGAAACACTCTGCTTGTTATGTCTGCAAGTGGATATTTGGACCTCTTTGAGGCCTTCGTTGCAAACGGGGTTTCTTCCTTTCATGCTAGACTAAGAAGAGTTCTCAGTAACTTTTTTGTGTTGTGTGTATTCAACTCACAGAGTTGAACCTTGCTTTAGAGAGAGCAGATTTGAAACACTCTTGCTGTGGCATTTTCAGGTGGAGATTTCAAGCGATTTGAGGACAATTGCAGAAAAGGAAATATCTTCGTATAATAACCAGACAAAATCATTCTCAGAAAGTACTTTGTGATGTGTGCGTTCCACTCACAGAGTTTAACCTTTCTTTTCATAGAGGAGTTTGGAAACACACTGTTTGTAAAGTCTGCAAGTGGATATATGGACCTCTTTGAGGCCTTCGTTGGAAACGGGATTTCTTCATTGAATGCTAGACGGAAGAATTCTCAGTAAATTCTTTGTGTTGTGTGCATTCAACTCACAGAGTGGAACGTCCCTTTAGACAGAGCAGATTTGAAACACTCTTTTTGCGGAATTTGCAAGTGGAGATTTCTAGCCATTTGATGCCAACAGTAGAAAGGGAAATATCTTCAAATAAAAACCAGACAGAATCATTCTCAGAAAATTCTTTGTGATGTGTGCGTTCAACTCACATAGTATAACCTTTCTTTTCATAGAGCAGTTTGGAAACACTCTGTTTGTAAAGTCTGCAAGTGGATATATGGACCGCATTGAGGCCTTCGTTGGAAACGGGATTTCTTCATTTCATGCTAGACAGAAGAATTCTCAGTAACTTCTTTGTGCTGTGTGTATTCAACTCACAGAGTGGAACGT
The DNA here is from genome assembly GCF_000001405.40 of Homo sapiens. Lineage (NCBI taxonomy): Eukaryota > Metazoa > Chordata > Mammalia > Primates > Hominidae > Homo > Homo sapiens. The sequence continues at coordinate 58,582,895 of NC_000007.14, forward strand.
CCCTTTACACAGAGCAGATTTGAAACACTCTTTTTGTGGAGTTTGCAAGTGGAGATTTCAAGCGATTTGATGCCAACAGTAGAAAAGGAAATATCTTCAAATAAAAACTAGACAGAATCATTCTCAGAAACTACTTTGTGATGTGTGCCTTCAACTCACAGAGTTTAACCTTTCTTTTCTTAGAGCAGTTTAGAAACACTCTGCTTGTTATGTCTGCAAGTGGATATTTGGACCTCTTTGAGGCCTTCGTTGCAAACGGGGTTTCTTCCTTTCATGCTAGACTAAGAAGAGTTCTCAGTAACTTTTTTGTGTTGTGTGTATTCAACTCACAGAGTTGAACCTTGCTTTAGAGAGAGCAGATTTGAAACACTCTTGCTGTGGCATTTTCAGGTGGAGATTTCAAGCGATTTGAGGACAATTGCAGAAAAGGAAATATCTTCGTATAATAACCAGACAGAATCATTCTCAGAAAGTGCTTTGTGATGTGTGCGTTCCACTCACAGAGTTTAACCTTTCTTTTCATAGAGGAGTTTGGAAACACACTGTTTGTAAAGTCTGCAAGTGGATATATGGACCTGTTTGAGGCCTTCGTTGGAAACGGGATTTCTTCATTGAATGCTAGACGGAAGAATTCTCAGTAAATTCTTTGTGTTGTGTGCATTCAACTCACAGAGTGGAACGTCCCTTTAGACACAGCAGATTTGAAACACTCTTTTTGCGGAATTTGCAAGTGGAGATTTCTAGCCATTTGATGCCAACAGTAGAAAGGGAAATATCTTCAAATAAAAACCAGACAGAATCATTCTCAGAAAATTCTTTGTGATGTGTGCGTTCAACTCACATAGTTTAACCTTTCTTTTCATAGAGCAGTTTGGAAACACTCTGTTTGTAAAGTCTGCAAGTGGATATATGGACCGCATTGAGGCCTTCGTTGGAAACGGGATTTCTTCATTTCATGCTAGACAGAAGAATTCTCAGTAACTTCTTTGTGCTGTGTGTATTCAACTCACAGAGTGGAACGTCCCTTTGCACAGAGCAGATTTGAAACACTCTTTTTGTGGAGTTTGCAAGTGGAGATTTCAAGCGATTTGATGCCAACAGTAGAAAAGGAAATATCTTCAAATAAAAACTAGACAGAATCATTCTCAGAAACTACTTTGTGATGTGTGCCTTCAACTCACAGAGTTTAACCTTTCTTTTCTTAGAGCAGTTTAGAAACACTCTGCTTGTTATGTCTGCAAGTGGATATTTGGACCTCTTTGAGGCCTTCGTTGCAAACGGGGTTTCTTCCTTTCATGCTAGACTAAGAAGAGTTCTCAGTAACTTTTTTGTGTTGTGTGTATTCAACTCACAGAGTTGAACCTTGCTTTAGAGAGAGCAGATTTGAAACACTCTTGCTGTGGCATTTTCAGGTGGAGATTTCAAGCGATTTGAGGACAATTGCAGAAAAAGAAATATCTTCGTATAATAACCAGACAGAATCATTCTCAGAAAGTGCTTTGTGATGTGTGCGTTCAACTCACAGAGTTTAACCTTTCTTTTCATAGAGGAGTTTGGAAACACACTGTTTGTAAAGTCTGCAATTGGATATATGGACCTGTTTGAGGCCTTCGTTGGAAACGGGATTTCTTCATTGCATGCTAGACGGAAGAATTCTCAGTAAATTCTTTGTGTTGTGTGCATTCAACTCACAGAGTGGAACGTCCCTTTAGACAGAGCAGATTTGAAACACTCTTTTTGCGGAATTTGCAAGTGGAGATTTCTAGCCATTTGATGCCAACAGTAGAAAGGGAAATATCTTCAAATAAAAACCAGACAGAATCATTCTCAGAAAATTCTTTGTGATGTGTGCGTTCAACTCACATAGTTTAACCTTTCTTTTCATAGAGCAGTTTGGAAACACTCTGTTTGTAAAGTCTGCAAGTGGATATATGGACCGCATTGAGGCCTTCGTTGGAAACGGGATTTCTTCATTTCATGCTAGACAGAAGAATTCTCAGTAACTTCTTTGTGCTGTGTGTATTCAACTCACAGAGTGGAACGTCCCTTTGCACAGAGCAGATTTGAAACACTCTTTTTGTGGAATTTGCAAGTGGAGATTTCAAGCGATTTGATGCCAACAGTAGAAAAGGAAATATCTTCAAATAAAAACTAGACAGAATCATTCTCAGAAACTACTTTGTGATGTGTGCCTTCAACTCACAGAGTTTAACCTTTCTTTTCTTAGAGCAGTTTAGAAACACTCTGCTTGTTATGTCTGCAAGTGGATATTTGGACCTCTTTGAGGCCTTCGTTGCAAACGGGGTTTCTTCCTTTCATGCTAGACTAAGAAGAGTCCTCAGTAACTTTTTTGTGTTGTGTGTATTCAACTCACAGAGTTGAACCTTGCTTTAGAGAGAGCAGATTTGAAACACTCTTGCTGTGGCATTTTCAGGTGGAGATTTCAAGCGATTTGAGGACAACTGCAGAAAAGGAAATATCTTCGTATAATAACCAGACAAAATCATTCTCAGAAAGTGCTTTGTGATGTGTGCGTTCAACTCACAGAGTTTAACCTTTCTTTTCATAGACGAGTTTGGAAACACACTGTTTGTAAAGTCTGCAAGTGGATATATGGACCTGTTTGAGGCCTTCGTTGGAAACGGGATTTCTTCATTGAATGCTAGACGGAAGAATTCTCAGTAAATTCTTTGTGTTGTGTGCATTCAACTCACAGAGTGGAACGTCCCTTTAGACAGAGCAGATTTGAAACACTCTTTATGCGGAATTTGCAAGTGGAGATTTCTAGCCATTTGATGCCAACAGTAGAAAGGGAAATATCTTCAAATAAAAACCAGACAGAATCATTCTCAGAAAATTCTTTGTGATGTGTGCGTTCAACTCACATAGTTTAACCTTTCTTTTCATAGAGCAGTTTGGAAACACTCTGTTTGTAAAGTCTGCAAGTGGATATATGGACCGCATTGAGGCCTTCGTTGGAAACGGGATTTCTTCATTTCATGCTAGACAGAAGAATTCTCAGTAACTTCTTTGTGCTGTGTGTATTCAACTCACAGAGTGGAACGTCCCTTTGCACAGAGCAGATTTGAAACACTCTTTTTTGGTGGAGTTTGCAAGTGGAGATTTCAAGCGATTTGATGCCAACAGTAGAAAAGGAAATATCTTCAAATAAAAACTAGACAGAATCATTCTCAGAAACTACTTTGTGATGTGTGCCTTCAACTCACAGAGTTTAACCTTTCTTTTCTTAGAGCAGTTTAGAAACACTCTGCTTGTTATGTCTGCAAGTGGATATTTGGACCTCTTTGAGGCCTTCGTTGCAAACGGGGTTTCTTCCTTTCATGCTAGACTAAGAAGAGTTCTCAGTAACTTTTTTGTGTTGTGTGTATTCAACTCACAGAGTTGAACCTTGCTTTAGAGAGAGCAGGTTTGAAACACTCTCGCTGTGGAATTTTCAGGTGGAGATTTCAAGCGATTTGAGGACAATTGCAGAAAAGGAAATATCTTCGTATAATAACCAGACAGAATCATTCTCAGAAAGTGCTTTGTGATGTGTGCGTTCAACTCACAGAGTTTAACCTTTCTTTTCATAGAGGAGTTTGGAAACACACTGTTTGTAAAGTCTGCAATTGGATATATGGACCTGTTTGAGGCCTTCGTTGGAAACGGGATTTCTTCATTGAATGCTAGACGGAAGAATTCTCAGTAAATTCTTTGTGTTGTGTGCATTCAACTCACAGAGTGGAACGTCCCTTTAGACAGAGCAGATTTGAAACACTCTTTTTGCGGAATTTGCAAGTGGAGATTTCTAGCCATTTGATGCCAACAGTAGAAAGGGAAACATCTTCAAATAAAAACCAGACAGAATCATTCTCAGAAAATTCTTTGTGATGTGTGCGTTCAACTCACATAGTTTAACCTTTCTTTTCATAGAGCAGTTTGGAAACACTCTGTTTGTAAAGTCTGCAAGTGGATATATGGACCGCATTGAGGCCTTCGTTGGAAACGGGATTTCTTCATTTCATGCTAGACAGAAGAATTCTCAGTAACTTCTTTGTGCTGTGTGTATTCAACTCACAGAGTGGAACGTCCCTTTACACAGAGCAGATTTGAAACACTCTTTTTGTGGAGTTTGCAAGTGGAGATTTCAAGCGATTTGATGCCAACAGTAGAAAAGGAAATATCTTCAAATAAAAACTAGACAGAATCATTCTCAGAAACTACTTTGTGATGTGTGCCTTCAACTCACAGAGTTTAACCTTTCTTTTCTTAGAGCAGTTTAGAAACACTCTGCTTGTTATGTCTGCAAGTGGATATTTGGACCTCTTTGAGGCCTTCGTTGCAAACGGGGTTTCTTCCTTTCATGCTAGACTAAGAAGAGTTCTCAGTAACTTTTTTGTGTTGTGTGTATTCAACTCACAGAGTTGAACCTTGCTTTAGAGAGAGCAGATTTGAAACACTCTTGCTGTGGCATTTTCAGGTGGAGATTTCAAGCGTTTTGAGGACAATTGCAGAAAAGGAAATATCTTCGTATAATAACCAGACAGAATCATTCTCAGAAAGTGCTTTGTGATGTGTGCGTTCCACTCACAGAGTTTAACCTTTCTTTTCATAGAGGAGTTTGGAAACACACTGTTTGTAAACTCTGCAAGTGGATATATGGACCTGTTTGAGGCCTTCGTTGGAAACGGGATTTCTTCATTGAATGCTAGACGGAAGAATTCTCAGTAAATTCTTTGTGTTGTGTGCATTCAACTCACAGAGTGGAACGTCCCTTTAGACAGAGCAGATTTGAAACACTCTTTTTGCGGAATTTGCAAGTGGAGATTTCTAGCCATTTGATGCCAACAGTAGAAAGGGAAATATCTTCAAATAAAAACCAGACAGAATCATTCTCAGAAAATTCTTTGTGATGTGTGCGTTCAACTCACATAGTTTAACCTTTCTTTTCATAGAGCAGTTTGGAAACACTCTGTTTGTAAAGTCTGCAAGTGGATATATGGACCGCATTGAGGCCTTCGTTGGAAACGGGATTTCTTCATTTCATGCTAGACAGAAGAATTCTCAGTAACTTCTTTGTGCTGTGTGTATTCAACTCACAGAGTGGAACGTCCCTTTGCACAGAGCAGATTTGAAACACTCTTTTTGTGGAGTTTGCAAGTGGAGATTTCAAGCGATTTGATGCCAACAGTAGAAAAGGAAATATCTTCAAATAAAAACTAGACAGAATCATTCTCAGAAACTACTTTGTGATGTGTGCCTTCAACTCACAGAGTTTAACCTTTCTTTTCTTAGAGCAGTTTAGAAACACTCTGCTTGTTATGTCTGCAAGTGGATATTTGGACCTCTTTGAGGCCTTCGTTGCAAACGGGGTTTCTTCCTTTCATGCTAGACTAAGAAGAGTTCTCAGTAACTTTTTTGTGTTGTGTGTATTCAACTCACAGAGTTGAACCTTGCTTTAGAGAGAGCAGATTTGAAACACTCTTGCTGTGGCATTTTCAGGTGGAGATTTCAAGCGATTTGAGGACAATTGCAGAAAAGGAAATATCTTCGTATAATAACCAGACAGAATCATTCTCAGAAAGTGCTTTGTGATGTGTGCGTTCAACTCACAGAGTTTAACCTTTCTTTTCATAGAGGAGTTTGGAAACACACTGTTTGTAAAGTCTGCAATTGGATATATGGACCTGTTTGAGGCCTTCATTGGAAACGGGATTTCTTCATTGAATGCTAGACGGAAGAATTCTCAGTAAATTCTTTGTGTTGTGTGCATTCAACTCACAGAGTGGAACGTCCCTTTAGACAGAGCAGATTTGAAACACTCTTTTTGCGGAATTTGCAAGTGGAGATTTCTAGCCATTTGATGCCAACAGTAGAAAGGGAAATATCTTCAAATAAAAACCAGACAGAATCATTCTCAGAAAATTCTTTGTGATGTGTGCGTTCAACTCACATAGTTTAACCTTTCTTTTCATAGAGCAGTTTGGAAACACTCTGTTTGTAAAGTCTGCAAGTGGATATATGGACCGCATTGAGGCCTTCGTTGGAAACGGGATTTCTTCATTTCATGCTAGACAGAAGAATTCTCAGTAACTTCTTTGTGCTGTGTGTATTCAACTCACAGAGTGGAACGTCCCTTTACACAGAGCAGATTTGAAACACTCTTTTTGTGGAGTTTGCAAGTGGAGATTTCAAGCGATTTGATGCCAACCGTAGAAAAGGAAATATCTTCAAATAAAAACTAGACAGAATCATTCTCAGAAACTACTTTGTGATGTGTGCCTTCAACTCACAGAGTTTAACCTTTCTTTTCTTAGAGCAGTTTAGAAACACTCTGCTTGTTATGTCTGCAAGTGGATATTTGGACCTCTTTGAGGCCTTCGTTGCAAACGGGGTTTCTTCCTTTCATGCTAGACTAAGAAGAGTTCTCAGTAACTTTTTTGTGTTGTGTGTATTCAACTCACAGAGTTGAACCTTGCTTTAGAGAGAGCAGATTTGAAACACTCTTGCTGTGGCATTTTCAGGTGGAGATTTCAAGCGATTTGAGGACAATTGCAGAAAAGGAAATATCTTCGTATAATAACCAGACAGAATCATTCTCAGAAAGTGCTTTGTGATGTGTGCGTTCCACTCACAGAGTTTAACCTTTCTTTTCATAGAGGAGTTTGGAAACAAACTGTTTGTAAAGTCTGCAAGTGGATATATGGACCTGTTTGAGGCCTTCGTTGGAAACGGGATTTCTTCATTGAATGCTAGACGGAAGAATTCTCAGTAAATTCTTTGTGTTGTGTGCATTCAACTCACAGAGTGGAACGTCCCTTTAGACACAGCAGATTTGAAACACTCTTTTTGCGGAATTTGCAAGTGGAGATTTCTAGCCATTTGATGCCAACAGTAGAAAGGGAAATATCTTCAAATAAAAACCAGACAGAATCATTCTCAGAAAATTCTTTGTGATGTGTGCGTTCAACTCACATAGTTTAACCTTTCTTTTCATAGAGCAGTTTGGGAACACTCTGTTGGTAATGTCTGCAAGTGGATATATGGACCGCTTTGAGGCCTTCGTTGGAAACGGGATTTCTTCATTTCATGCTAGACAGAAGAATTCTCAGTAACTTCTTTGTGCTGTGTGTATTCAACTCACAGAGTGGAACGTCCCTTTACACAGAGCAGATTTGAAACACTCTTTTTGTGGAATTTGCAAGTGGAGATTTCAAGCGATTTGATGCCAACAGTAGAAAAGGAAATATCTTCAAATAAAAACTAGACAGAATCATTCTCAGAAACTACTTTGTGATGTGTGCCTTCAACTCACAGAGTTTAACCTTTCTTTTCTTAGAGCAGTTTAGAAACACTCTGCTTGTTATGTCTGCAAGTGGATATTTGGACCTCTTTGAGGCCTTCGTTGCAAACGGGGTTTCTTCCTTTCATGCTAGACTAAGAAGAGTTCTCAGTAACTTTTTTGTGTTGTGTGTATTCAACTCACAGAGTTGAACCTTGCTTTAGAGAGAGCAGATTTGAAACACTCTTGCTGTGGCATTTTCAGGTGGAGATTTCAAGCGGTTTGAGGACAATTGCAGAAAAGGAAATATCTTCGTATAATAACCAGACAGAATCATTCTCAGAAAGTGCTTTGTGATGTGTGCGTTCCACTCACAGAGTTTAACCTTTCTTTTCATAGAGGAGTTTGGAAACACACTGTTTGTAAAGTCTGCAATTGGATATATGGACCTGTTTGAGGCCTTCGTTGGAAACGGGATTTCTTCATTGAATGCTAGACGGGAAGAATTCTCAGTAAATTCTTTGTGTGGTGTGCATTCAACTCACAGAGTGGAACGTCCCCTTTAGACAGAGCAGATTTGAAACACTCTTTTTGCGGAATTTGCTAGTGGAGATTTCTAGCCATTTGATGCCAACAGTAGAAAGGGAAATATCTTCAAATAAAAACCAGACAGAATCATTCTCAGAAAATTCTTTGTGATGTGTGCGTTCAACTCACATAGTTTAACCTTTCTTTTCATAGAGCAGTTTGGAAACACTCTGTTTGTAAAGTCTGCAAGTGGATATATGGACCGCATTGAGGCCTTCGTTGGAAACGGGATTTCTTCATTTCATGCTAGACAGAAGAATTCTCAGTAACTTCTTTGTGCTGTGCGTATTCAACTCACAGAGTGGAACGTCTCTTTACACAGAGCAGATTTGAAACACTCTTTTTGTGGAGTTTGCAAGTGGAGATTTCAAGCGATTTGATGCCAACAGTAGAAAAGGAAATATCTTCAAATAAAAACTAGACAGAATCATTCTCAGAAACTACTTTGTGATGTGTGCCTTCAACTCACAGAGTTTAACCTTTCTTTTCTTAGAGCAGTTTAGAAACACTCTGCTTGTTATGTCTGCAAGTGGATATTTGGACCTCTTTGAGGCCTTCGTTGCAAACGGGGTTTCTTCCTTTCATGCTAGACTAAGAAGAGTTCTCAGTAACATTTTTGTGTTGTGTGTATTCAACTCACAGAGTTGAACCTTGCTTTAGAGAGAGCAGATTTGAAACACTCTTGCTGTGGCATTTTCAGGTGGAGATTTCAAGCGATTTGAGGACAATTGCAGAAAAGGAAATATCTTCGTATAACAACCAGACAGAATCATTCTCAGAAAGTGCTTTGTGATGTGTGCGTTCAACTCACAGAGTTTAACCTTTCTTTTCATAGAGGAGTTTGGAAACACACTGTTTGTAAAGTCTGCAATTGGATATATGGACCTGTTTGAGGCCTTCGTTGGAAACGGGATTTCTTCATTGAATGCTAGACGGAAGAATTCTCAGTAAATTCTTTGTGTGGTGTGCATTCAACTCACAGAGTGGAACGTCCCTTTAGACAGAGCAGATTTGAAACACTCTTTTTGCGGAATTTGCAAGTGGAGATTTCTAGCCATTTGATGCCAACAGTAGAAAGGGAAATATCTTCAAATAAAAACCAGACAGAATCATTCTCAGAAAATTCTTTGTGATGTGTGCGTTCAACTCACATAGTTTAACCTTTCTTTTCATAGAGCAGTTTGGAAACACTCTGTTTGTAAAGTCTGCAAGTGGATATATGGACCGCATTGAGGCCTTCGTTGGAAACGGGATTTCTTCATTTCATGCTAGACAGAAGAATTCTCAGTAACTTCTTTGTGCTGTGTGTATTCAACTCACAGAGTGGAACGTCCCTTTGCACAGAGCAGATTTGAAACACTCTTTTTGTGGAGTTTGCAATTGGAGATTTCAAGCGATTTGATGCCAACAGTAGAAAAGGAAATATCTTCAAATAAAAACTAGACAGAATCATTCTCAGAAACTACTTTGTGATGTGTGCCTTCAACTCACAGAGTTTAACCTTTCTTTTCTTAGAGCAGTTTAGAAACACTCTGCTTGTTATGTCTGCAAGTGGATATTTGGACCTCTTTGAGGCCTTCGTTGCAAACGGGGTTTCTTCCTTTCATGCTAGACTAAGAAGAGTTCTCAGTAACTTTTTTGTGTTGTGTGTATTCAACTCACAGAGTTGAACCTTGCTTTAGAGAGAGCAGATTTGAAACACTCTTGCTGTGGCATTTTCAGGTGGAGATTTCAAGCGATTTGAGGACAATTACAGAAAAGGAAATATCTTCGTATAACAACCAGACAGAATCATTCTCAGAAAGTGCTTTGTGATGTGTGCGTTCCACTCACAGAGTTTAACCTTTCTTTTCATAGAGGAGTTTGGAAACACACTGTTTGTAAACTCTGCAAGTGGATATATGGACCTGTTTGAGGCCTTCGTTGGAAACGGGATTTCTTCATTGAATGCTAGACGGAAGAATTCTCAGTAAATTCTTTGTGTTGTGTGCATTCAACTCACAGAGTGGAACGTCCCTTTAGACAGAGCAGATTTGAAACACTCTTTTTGCGGAATTTGCAAGTGGAGATTTCTAGCCATTTGATGCCAACAGTAGAAAGGGAAATATCTTCAAATAAAAACCAGACAGAATCATTCTCAGAAAATTCTTTGTGATGTGTGCGTTCAACTCACATAGTATAACCTTTCTTTTCATAGAGCAGTTTGGAAACACTCTGTTTGTAAAGTCTGCAAGTGGATATATGGACCGCATTGAGGCCTTCGTTGGAAACGGGATTTCTTCATTTCATGCTAGACAGAAGAATTCTCAGTAAATACTTTGTGTTGTGTGCATTCAACTGACAGAGTGGAACGTCCCTTTAGACAGAGCAGATTTGAAACACTCTTTTTGTGGAGTTTGCAAGTGGAGATTTCAAGCGATTTGATGCCAACAGTAGAAAAGGAAATATCTTCAAATAAAAACTAGACAGAATCATTCTCAGAAACTACTTTGTGATGTGTGCCTTCAACTCACAGAGTTTAACCTTTCTTTTCTTAGAGCAGTTTAGAAACACTCTGCTTGTTATGTCTGCAAGTGGATATTTGGACCTCTTTGAGGCCTTCGTTGCAAACGGGGTTTCTTCCTTTCATGCTAGACTAAGAAGAGTTCTCAGTAACTTTTTTGTGTTGTGTGTATTCAACTCACAGAGTTGAACCTTGCTTTAGAGAGAACAGATTTGAAACACTCTTGCTGTGGCATTTTCAGGTGGAGATTTCAAGCGATTTGAGGACAATTGCAGAAAAGGAAATATCTTCGTATAATAACCAGACAGAATCATTCTCAGAAAGTGCTTTGTGATGTGTGCGTTCCACTCACAGAGTTTAACCTTTCTTTTCATAGAGGAGTTTGGAAACACACTGTTTGTAAAGTCTGCAATTGGATATATGGACCTGTTTGAGGCCTTCGTTGGAAACGGGATTTCTTCATTGATTGCTAGACGGAAGAATTCTCAGTAAATTCTTTGTGTTGTGTGCATTCAACTGACAGAGTGGAACGTCCCTTTAGACAGAGCAGATTTGAAACACTCTTTTTGCGGAATTTGCAAGTGGAGATTTCTAGCCATTTGATGCCAACAGTAGAAAGGGAAATATCTTCAAATAAAAACCAGACAGAATCATTCTCAGAAAATTCTTTGTGATGTGTGCGTTCAACTCACATAGTTTAACCTTTCTTTTCATAGAGCAGTTTGGAAACACTCTGTTTGTAAAGTCTGCAAGTGGATATATGGACCGCATTGAGGCCTTCGTTGGAAACGGGATTTCTTCATTTCATGCTAGACAGAAGAATTCTCAGTAACTTCTTTGTGCTGTGTGTATTCAACTCACAGAGTGGAACGTCCCTTTACACAGAGCAGATTTGAAACACTCTTTTTGTGGAGTTTGCAAGTGGAGATTTCAAGCGATTTGATGCCAACAGTAGAAAAGGAAATATCTTCAAATAAAAACTAGACAGAATCATTCTCAGAAACTACTTTGTGATGTGTGCCTTCAACTCACAGAGTTTAACCTTTCTTTTCTTAGAGCAGTTTAGAAACACTCTGCTTGTTATGTCTGCAAGTGGATATTTGGACCTCTTTGAGGCCTTCGTTGCAAACGGGGTTTCTTCCTTTCATGCTAGACTAAGAAGAGTTCTCAGTAACTTTTTTGTGTTGTGTGTATTCAACTCACAGAGTTGAACCTTGCTTTAGAGAGAGCAGATTTGAAACACTCTTGCTGTGGCATTTTCAGTTGGAGATTTCAAGCGATTTGAGGACAATTGCAGAAAAGGAAATATCTTCGTATAATAACCAGACAGAATCATTCTCAGAAAGTGCTTTGTGATGTGTGCGTTCAACTCACAGAGTTTAACCTTTCTTTCCATAGAGGAGTTTGGAAACACACTGTTTGTAAAGTCTGCAAGTGGATATATGGACCTGTTTGAGGCCTTCGTTGGAAACGGGATTTCTTCATTGAATGCTAGACGGAAGAATTCTCAGTAAATTCTTTGTGTTGTGTGCATTCAACTCACAGAGTGGAACGTCCCTTTAGACAGAGCAGATTTGAAACACTCTTTTTGCGGAATTTGCAAGTGGAGATTTCTAGCCATTTGATGCCAACAGTAGAAAGGGAAATATCTTCAAATAAAAACCAGACAGAATCATTCTCAGAAAATTCTTTGTGATGTGTGCGTTCAACTCACATAGTTTAACCTTTCTTTTCATAGAGCAGTTTGGAAACACTCTGTTTGTAAAGTCTGCAAGTGGATATATGGACCGCATTGAGGCCTTCGTTGGAAACGGGATTTCTTCATTTCATGCTAGACAGAAGAATTCTCAGTAACTTCTTTGTGCTGTGTGTATTCAACTCACAGAGTGGAACCGTCCCTTTACACAGAGCAGATTTGAAACACTCTTTTTGTGGAATTTGCAAGTGGAGATTTCAAGCGATTTGATGCCAACAGTAGAAAAGGAAATATCTTCAAATAAAAACTAGACAGAATCATTCTCAGAAACTACTTTGTGATGTGTGCCTTCAACTCACAGAGTTTAACCTTTCTTTTCTTAGAGCAGTTTAGAAACACTCTGCTTGTTATGTCTGCAAGTGGATATTTGGACCTCTTTGAGGCCTTCGTTGCAAACGGGGTTTCTTCCTTTCATGCTAGACTAAGAAGAGTTCTCAGTAACTTTTTTGTGTTGTGTGTATTCAACTCACAGAGTTGAACCTTGCTTTAGAGAGAGCAGATTTGAAACACTCTTGCTGTGGCATTTTCAGGTGGAGATTTCAAGCGATTTGAGGACAATTGCAGAAAAGGAAATATCTTCGTATAATAACCAGACAGAATCATTCTCAGAAAGTGCTTTGTGATGTGTGCGTTCAACTCACAGAGTTTAACCTTTCTTTTCATAGAGGAGTTTGGAAACACACTGTTTGTAAAGTCTGCAATTGGATATATGGACCTGTTTGAGGCCTTCGTTGGAAACGGGATTTCTTCATTGAATGCTAGACGGAAGAATTCTCAGTAAATTCTTTGTGTTGTGTGCATTCAACTCACAGAGTGGAACGTCCCTTTAGACAGAGCAGATTTGAAACACTCTTTTTGCGGAATTTGCAAGTGGAGATTTCTAGCCATTTGATGCCAACAGTAGAAAGGGAAATATCTTCAAATAAAAACCAGACAGAATCATTCTCAGAAAATTCTTTGTGATGTGTGCGTTCAACTCACATAGTTTTACCTTTCTTTTCATAGAGCAGTTTGGAAACACTCTGTTTGTAAAGTCTGCAAGTGGATATATGGACCGCATTGAGGCCTTCGTTGGAAACGGGATTTCTTCATTTCATGCTAGACAGAAGAATTCTCAGTAACTTCTTTGTGCTGTGTGTATTCAACTCACAGAGTGGAACGTCCCTTTACACAGAGCAGATTTGAAACACTCTTTTTGTGGAGTTTGCAAGTGGAGATTTCAAGCGATTTGATGCCAACAGTAGAAAAGGAAATATCTTCAAATAAAAACTAGACAGAATCATTCTCAGAAACTACTTTGTGATGTGTGCCTTCAACTCACAGAGTTTAACCTTTCTTTTCTTAGAGCAGTTTAGAAACACTCTGCTTGTTATGTCTGCAAGTGGATATTTGGACCTCTTTGAGGCCTTCGTTGCAAACGGGGTTTCTTCCTTTCATGCTAGACTAAGAAGAGTTCTCAGTAACTTTTTTGTGTTGTGTGTATTCAACTCACAGAGTTGAACCTTGCTTTAGAGAGAGCAGATTTGAAACACTCTTGCTGTGGCATTTTCAGGTGGAGATTTCAAGCGATTTGAGGACAATTGCAGAAAAGGAAATATCTTCGTATAATAACCAGACAGAATCATTCTCAGAAAGTGCTTTGTGATGTGTGCGTTCAACTCACAGAGTTTAACCTTTCTTTTCATAGAGGAGTTTGGAAACACACTGTTTGTAAAGTCTGCAAGTGGATATATGGACCTGTTTGAGGCCTTCGTTGGAAACGGGATTTCTTCATTGAATGCTAGACGGAAGAATTCTCAGTAAATTCTTTGTGTTGTGTGCATTCAACTCACAGAGTGGAACGTCCCTTTAGACAGAGCAGATTTGAAACACTCTTTTTGCGGAATTTGCAAGTGGAGATTTCTAGCCATTTGATGCCAACAGTAGAAAGGGAAATATCTTCAAATAAAAACCAGACAGAATCATTCTCAGAAAATTCTTTGTGATGTGTGCGTTCAACTCACATAGTTTAACCTTTCTTTTCATAGAGCAGTTTGGAAACACTCTGTTTGTAAAGTCTGCAAGTGGATATATGGACCGCATTGAGGCCTTCGTTGGAAACGGGATTTCTTCATTTCATGCTAGACAGAAGAATTCTCAGTAACTTCTTTGTGCTGTGTGTATTCAACTCACAGAGTGGAACGTCCCTTTACACAGAGCAGATTTGAAACACTCTTTTTGTGGAGTTTGCAAGTGGAGATTTCAAGCGATTTGATGCCAACAGTAGAAAAGGAAATATCTTCAAATAAAAACTAGACAGAATCATTCTCAGAAACTACTTTGTGATGTGTGCCTTCAACTCACAGAGTTTAACCTTTCTTTTCTTAGAGCAGTTTAGAAACACTCTGCTTGTTATGTCTGCAAGTGGATATTTGGACCTCTTTGAGGCCTTCGTTGCAAACGGGGTTTCTTCCTTTCATGCTAGACTAAGAAGAGTTCTCAGTAACTTTTTTGTGTTGTGTGTATTCAACTCACAGAGTTGAACCTTGCTTTAGAGAGAGCAGATTTGAAACACTCTTGCTGTGGCATTTTCAGGTGGAGATTTCAAGCGATTTGAGGACAATTGCAGAAAAGGAAATATCTTCGTATAACAACCAGACAGAATCATTCTCAGAAAGTGCTTTGTGATGTGTGCGTTCCACTCACAGAGTTTAACCTTTCTTTTCATAGAGGAGTTTGGAAACACACTGTTTGTAAACTCTGCAAGTGGATATATGGACCTGTTTGAGGCCTTCGTTGGAAACGGGATTTCTTCATTGAATGCTAGACGGAAGAATTCTCAGTAAATTCTTTGTGTTGTGTGCATTCAACTCACAGAGTGGAACGTCCCTTTAGACAGAGCAGATTTGAAACACTCTTTTTGCGGAATTTGCAAGTGGAGATTTCTAGCCGTTTGATGCCAACAGTAGAAAGGGAAATATCTTCAAATAAAAACCAGACAGAATCATTCTCAGAAAATTCTTTGTGATGTGTGCGTTCAACTCACATAGTTTAACCTTTCTTTTCATAGAGCAGTTTGGAAACACTCTGTTTGTAAAGTCTGCAAGTGGATATATGGACCGCATTGAGGCCTTCGTTGGAAACGGGATTTCTTCATTTCATGCTAGACAGAAGAATTCTCAGTAACTTCTTTGTGCTGTGTGTATTCAACTCACAGAGTGGAACGTCCCTTTGCACAGAGCAGATTTGAAACACTCTTTTTGTGGAGTTTGCAAGTGGAGATTTCAAGCGATTTGATGCCAACAGTAGAAAAGGAAATATCTTCAAATAAAAACTAGACAGAATCATTCTCAGAAACTACTTTGTGATGTGTGCCTTCAACTCACAGAGTTTAACCTTTCTTTTCTTAGAGCAGTTTAGAAACACTCTGCTTGTTATGTCTGCAAGTGGATATTTGGACCTCTTTGAGGCCTTCGTTGCAAACGGGGTTTCTTCCTTTCATGCTAGACTAAAGAGTTCTCAGTAACTTTTTTGTGTTGTGTGTATTCAACTCACAGAGTTGAACCTTGCTTTAGAGAGAGCAGATTTGAAACACTCTAGCTGTGGCATTTTCAGGTGGAGATTTCAAGCGATTTGAGGACAATTGCAGAAAAGGAAATATCTTCGTATAATAACCAGACAGAATCATTCTCAGAAAGTGCTTTGTGATGTGTGCGTTCCACTCACAGAGTTTAACCTTTCTTTTCATAGAGGAGTTTGGAAACACACTGTTTGTAAAGTCTGCAAGTGGATATATGGACCTGTTTGAGGCCTTCGTTGGAAACGGGATTTCTTCATTGAATGCTAGACGGAAGAATTCTCAGTAAATTCTTTGTGTTGTGTGCATTCAACTCACAGAGTGGAACGTCCCTTTAGACAGAGCAGATTTGAAACACTCTTTTTGCGGAATTTGCAAGTGGAGATTTCTAGCCATTTGATGCCAACAGTAGAAAGGGAAATATCTTCAAATAAAAACCAGACAGAATCATTCTCAGAAAATTCTTTGTGATGTGTGCGTTCAACTCACATAGTTTAACCTTTCTTTTCATAGAGCAGTTTGGAAACACTCTGTTTGTAAAGTCTGCAAGTGGATATATGGACCGCATTGAGGCCTTCGTTGGAAACGGGATTTCTTCATTTCATGCTAGACAGAAGAATTCTCAGTAACTTCTTTGTGCTGTGTGTATTCAACTCACAGAGTGGAACGTCCCTTTACACAGAGCAGATTTGAAACACTCTTTTTGTGGAGTTTGCAAGTGGAGATTTCAAGCGATTTGATGCCAACAGTAGAAAAGGAAATATCTTCAAATAAAAACTAGACAGAATCATTCTCAGAAACTACTTTGTGATGTGTGCCTTCAACTCACAGAGTTTAACCTTTCTTTTCTTAGAGCAGTTTAGAAACACTCTGCTTGTTATGTCTGCAAGTGGATATTTGGACCTCTTTGAGGCCTTCGTTGCAAACGGGGTTTCTTCCTTTCATGCTAGACTAAGAAGAGTTCTCAGTAACTTTTTTGTGTTGTGTGTATTCAACTCACAGAGTTGAACCTTGCTTTAGAGAGAGCAGATTTGAAACACTCTTGCTGTGGCATTTTCAGGTGGAGATTTCAAGCGATTTGAGGACAATTGCAGAAAAGGAAATATCTTCGTATAATAACCAGACAGAATCATTCTCAGAAAGTGCTTTGTGATGTGTGCGTTCCACTCACAGAGTTTAACCTTTCTTTTCATAGAGGAGTTTGGAAACACACTGTTTGTAAACTCTGCAAGTGGATATATGGACCTGTTTGAGGCCTTCGTTGGAAACGGGATTTCTTCATTGAATGCTAGACGGAAGAATTCTCAGTAAATTCTTTGTGTTGTGTGCATTCAACTCACAGAGTGGAACGTCCCTTTAGACAGAGCAGATTTGAAACACTCTTTTTGCGGAATTTGCAAGTGGAGATTTCTAGCCATTTGATGCCAACAGTAGAAAGGGAAATATCTTCAAATAAAAACCAGACAGAATCATTCTCAGAAAATTCTTTGTGATGTGTGCGTTCAACTCACATAGTTTAACCTTTCTTTTCATAGAGCAGTTTGGAAACACTCTGTTTGTAAAGTCTGCAAGTGGATATATGGACCGCATTGAGGCCTTCGTTGGAAACGGGATTTCTTCATTTCATGCTAGACAGAAGAATTCTCAGTAACTTCTTTGTGCTGTGTGTATTCAACTCACAGAGTGGAACGTCCCTTTGCACAGAGCAGATTTGAAACACTCTTTTTGTGGAGTTTGCAAGTGGAGATTTCAAGCGATTTGATGCCAACAGTAGAAAAGGAAATATCTTCAAATAAAAACTAGACAGAATCATTCTCAGAAACTACTTTGTGATGTGTGCCTTCAACTCA
This sequence comes from Homo sapiens, assembly GCF_000001405.40. NCBI lineage: Eukaryota > Metazoa > Chordata > Mammalia > Primates > Hominidae > Homo > Homo sapiens. The sequence continues at coordinate 58,600,430 of NC_000007.14, forward strand.
CAGAGTTTAACCTTTCTTTTCTTAGAGCAGTTTAGAAACACTCTGCTTGTTATGTCTGCAAGTGGATATTTGGACCTCTTTGAGGCCTTCGTTGCAAACGGGGTTTCTTCCTTTCATGCTAGACTAAGAAGAGTTGCTCAGTAACTTTTTTGTGTTGTGTGTATTCAACTCACAGAGTTGAACCTTGCTTTAGAGAGAGCAGATTTGAAACACTCTTGCTGTGGCATTTTCAGGTGGAGATTTCAAGCGATTTGAGGACAATTGCAGAAAAGGAAATATCTTCGTATAATAACCAGACAGAATCATTCTCAGAAAGTGCTTTGTGATGTGTGCGTTCAACTCACAGAGTTTAACCTTTCTTTTCATAGAGGAGTTTGGAAACACACTGTTTGTAAAGTCTGCAAGTGGATATATGGACCTGTTTGAGGCCTTCGTTGGAAACGGGATTTCTTCATTGAATGCTAGACAGAAGAATTCTCAGTAAATTCTTTGTGTTGTGTGCATTCAACTCACAGAGTGGAACGTCCCTTTAGACAGAGCAGATTTGAAACACTCTTTTTGCGGAATTTGCAAGTGGAGATTTCTAGCCATTTGATGCCAACAGTAGAAAGGGAAATATCTTCAAATAAAAACCAGACAGAATCATTCTCAGAAAATTCTTTGTGATGTGTGCGTTCAACTCACATAGTTTAACCTTTCTTTTCATGGAGCAGTTTGGAAACACTCTGTTTGTAAAGTCTGCAAGTGGATATATGGACCGCATTGAGGCCTTCGTTGGAAACGGGATTTCTTCATTTCATGCTAGACAGAAGAATTCTCAGTAACTTCTTTGTGCTGTGTGTATTCAACTCACAGAGTTGAACCTTGCTTTAGAGAGAGCAGATTTGAAACACTCTTGCTGTGGCATTTTCAGGTGGAGATTTCAAGCGATTTGAGGAAAATTGCAGAAAAGGGAATATCTTCGTATAATAACCAGACAGAATCATTCTCAGAAAGTGCTTTGTGATGTGTGCGTTCCACTCACAGAGTTTAACCTTTCTTTTCATAGAGGAGTTTGGAAACACACTGTTTGTAAACTCTGCAAGTGGATATATGGACCTGTTTGTGGCCTTCGTTGGAAACGGGATTTCTTCATTGAATGCTAGACGGAAGAATTCTCAGTAAATTCTTTGTGTTGTGTGCATTCAACTCACAGAGTGGAACGTCCCTTTAGACAGAGCAGATTTGAAACACTCTTTTTGCGGAATTTGCAAGTAGAGATTTCTAGCCATTTGATGCCAACAGTAGAAAGGGAAATATCTTCAAATAAAAACCAGACAGAATCATTCTCAGAAAATTCTTTGTGATGTGTGCGTTCAACTCACATAATTTAACCTTTCTTTTCATAGAGCAGTTTGGAAACACTCTGTTTGTAAAGTCTGCAAGTGGATATATGGACCGCATTGAGGCCTTCGTTGGAAACGGGATTTCTTCATTTCATGCTAGACAGAAGAATTCTCAGTAACTTCTGTGTGCTGTGTGTATTCAACTCACAGAGTGGAACGTCCCTTTGCACAGAGCAGATTTGAAACACTCTTTTTGTGGAATTTGCAAGTGGAGATTTCAAGCGATTTGATGCCAACAGTAGAAAAGGAAATATCTTCAAATAAAAACTAGACAGAATCATTCTCAGAAACTACTTTGTGATGTGTGCCTTCAACTCACAGAGTTTAACCTTTCTTTTCTTAGAGCAGTTTAGAAACACTCTGCTTGTTATGTCTGCAAGTGGATATTTGGACCTCTTTGAGGCCTTCGTTGCAAACGGGGTTTCTTCCTTTCATGCTAGACTAAGAAGAGTTCTCAGTAACTTTTTTGTGTTGTGTGTATTCAACTCACAGAGTTGAACCTTGCTTTAGAGAGAGCAGATTTGAAACACTCTTGCTGTGGCATTTTCAGGTGGAGATTTCAAGCGATTTGAGGACAATTACAGAAAAGGAAATATCTTCGTATAACAACCAGACAGAATCATTCTCAGAAAGTGCTTTGTGATGTGTGCGTTCAACTCACAGAGTTTAACCTTTCTTTTCATAGAGGAGTTTGGAAACACACTGTTTGTAAAGTCTGCAATTGGATATATGGACCTGTTTGAGGCCTTCGTTGGAAACGGGATTTCTTCATTGAATGCTAGACGGAAGAATTCTCAGTAAATTCTTTGTGTGGTGTGCATTCAACTCACAGAGTGGAACGTCCCTTTAGACAGAGCAGATTTGAAACACTCTTTTTGCGGAATTTGCAAGTGGAGATTTCTAGCCATTTGATGCCAACAGTAGAAAGGGAAATATCTTCAAATAAAAACCAGACAGAATCATTCTCAGAAAATTCTTTGTGATGTGTGCGTTCAACTCACATAGTTTAACCTTTCTTTTCATAGAGCAGTTTGGAAACACTCTGTAAAGTCTGCAAGTGGATATATGGACCGCATTGAGGCCTTCGTTGGAAACGGGATTTCTTCATTTCATGCTAGACAGAAGAATTCTCAGTAACTTCTTTGTGCTGTGTGTATTCAACTCACAGAGTGGAACGTCCCTTTGCACAGAGCAGATTTGAAACACTCTTTTTTGGTGGAGTTTGCAAGTGGAGATTTCAAGCGATTTGATGCCAACAGTAGAAAAGGAAATATCTTCAAATAAAAACTAGACAGAATCATTCTCAGAAACTACTTTGTGATGTGTGCCTTCAACTCACAGAGTTTAACCTTTCTTTTCTTAGAGCAGTTTAGAAACACTCTGCTTGTTATGTCTGCAAGTGGATATTTGGACCTCTTTGAGGCCTTCGTTGCAAACGGGGTTTCTTCCTTTCATGCTAGACTAAGAAGAGTTCTCAGTAACTTTTTTGTGTTGTGTGTATTCAACTCACAGAGTTGAACCTTGCTTTAGAGAGAGCAGATTTGAAACACTCTTGCTGTGGCATTTTCAGGTGGAGATTTCAAGCGATTTGAGGACAATTGCAGAAAAGGAAATATCTTCGTATAATAACCAGACAGAATCATTCTCAGAAAGTGCTTTGTGATGTGTGCGTTCCACTCACAGAGTTTAACCTTTCTTTTCATAGAGGAGTTTGGAAACAAACTGTTTGTAAACTCTGCAAGTGGATATATGGACCTGTTTGAGGCCTTCGTTGGAAACGGGATTTCTTCATTGAATGCTAGACGGAAGAATTCTCAGTAAATTCTTTGTGTTGTGTGCATTCAACTCACAGAGTGGAACGTCCCTTTAGACAGAGCAGATTTGAAACACTCTTTTTGCGGAATTTGCAAGTGGAGATTTCTAGCCATTTGATGCCAACAGTAGAAAGGGAAATATCTTCAAATAAAAACCAGACAGAATCATTCTCAGAAAATTCTTTGTGATGTGTGCGTTCAACTCACATAGTTTAACCTTTCTTTTCATAGAGCAGTTTGGAAACACTCTGTTTGTAAAGTCTGCAAGTGGATATATGGACCGCATTGAGGCCTTCGTTGGAAACGGGATTTCTTCATTTCATGCTAGACAGAAGAATTCTCAGTAACTTCTTTGTGCTGTGTGTATTCAACTCACAGAGTGGAACGTCCCTTTACACAGAGCAGATTTGAAACACTCTTTTTGTGGAGTTTGCAAGTGGAGATTTCAAGCGATTTGATGCCAACAGTAGAAAAGGAAATATCTTCAAATAAAAACTAGACAGAATCATTCTCAGAAACTACTTTGTGATGTGTGCCTTCAACTCACAGAGTTTAACCTTTCTTTTCTTAGAGCAGTTTAGAAACACTCTGCTTGTTATGTCTGCAAGTGGATATTTGGACCTCTTTGAGGCCTTCGTTGCAAACGGGGTTTCTTCCTTTAATGCTAGACTAAGAAGAGTTCTCAGTAACTTTTTTGTGTTGTGTGTATTCAACTCACAGAGTTGAACCTTGCTTTAGAGAGAGCAGATTTGAAACACTCTTGCTGTGGCATTTTCAGGTGGAGATTTCAAGCGATTTGAGGACAATTGCAGAAAAGGAAATATCTTTGTATAACAACCAGACAGACAATCATTCTCAGAAAGTGCTTTGTGATGTGTGCGTTCAACTCACAGAGTTTAACCTTTCTTTTCATAGAGGAGTTTGGAAACACACTGTTTGTAAAGTCTGCAATTGGATATATGGACCTGTTTGAGGCCTTCGTTGGAAACGGGATTTCTTCATTGAATGCTAGACGGAAGAATTCTCAGTAAATTCTTGGTGTTGTGTGCATTCAACTGACAGAGTGGAACGTCCCTTTAGACAGAGCAGATTAGAAACACTCTTTTTGCGGAATTGGCAAGTGGAGATTTCTAGCCATTTGATGCCAACAGTAGAAAGGGAAATATCTTCAAATAAAAACCAGACAGAATCATTCTCAGAAAATTCTTTGTGATGTGTGCGTTCAACTCACATAGTTTAACCTTTCTTTTCATAGAGCAGTTTGGAAACACTCTGTTTGTAAAGTCTGCAAGTGGATATATGGACCGCATTGAGGCCTTCGTTGGAAACGGGATTTCTTCATTTCATGCTAGACAGAATAATTCTCAGTAACTTCTTTGTGCTGTGTGTATTCAACTCACAGAGTGGAACGTCCCTTTGCACAGAGCAGATTTGAAACACTCTTTTTGTGGAATTTGCAAGTGGAGATTTCAAGCGATTTGATGCCAACAGTAGAAAAGGAAATATCTTCAAATAAAAACTAGACAGAATCATTCTCAGAAACTACTTTGTGATGTGTGCCTTCAACTCACAGAGTTTAACCTTTCTTTTCTTAGAGCAGTTTAGAAACACTCTGCTTGTTATGTCTGCAAGTGGATATTTGGACCTCTTTGAGGCCTTCGTTGCAAACGGGGTTTCTTCCTTTCATGCTAGACTAAGAAGAGTTCTCAGTAACTTTTTTGTGTTGTGTGTATTCAACTCACAGAGTTGAACCTTGCTTTAGAGAGAGCAGATTTGAAACACTCTTGCTGTGGCATTTTCAGGTGGAGATTTCAAGCGATTTGAGGACAATTGCAGAAAAGGAAATATCTTCGTATAATAACCAGACAGAATCATTCTCAGAAAGTGCTTTGTGATGTGTGCGTTCAACTCACAGAGTTTAACCTTTCCTTTCATAGAGGAGTTTGGAAACACACTGTTTGTAAAGTCTGCAAGTGGATATATGGACCTGTTTGAGGCCTTCGTTGGAAACGGGATTTTATCATATAATGCTAGAAGGAAGAATTCTCAGTAAATTCTTTGTGTTGTGTGCATTCAACTCACAGAGTGGAACGTCCCTTTAGACAGAGCAGATTTGAAACACTCTTTTTGCGGAATTTGCAAGTGGAGATTTCTAGCCATTTGATGGCCAACAGTAGAAAGGGAAATATCTTCAAATAAAAACCAGACAGAATCATTCTCAGAAAATTCTTTGTGATGTGTGCGTTCAACTCACATAGTTTAACCTTTCTTTTCATAGAGCAGTTTGGAAACACTCTGTTTGTAAAGTCTGCAAGTGGATATATGGACCGCATTGAGGCCTTCGTTGGAAACGGGATTTCTTCATTTCATGCTAGACAGAAGAATTCTCAGTAACTTCTTTGTGCTGTGTGTATTCAACTCACAGAGTGGAACGTCCCTTTGCACAGAGCAGATTTGAAACACTCTTTTTGTGGAGTTTGCAAGTGGAGATTTCAAGCGATTTGATGCCAACAGTAGAAAAGGAAATATCTTCAAATAAAAACTAGACAGAATCATTCTCAGAAACTACTTTGTGATGTGTGCCTTCAACTCACAGAGTTTAACCTTTCTTTTCTTAGAGCAGTTTAGAAACACTCTGCTTGTTATGTCTGCAAGTGGATATTTGGACCTCTTTGAGGCCTTCGTTGCAAACGGGGTTTCTTCCTTTCATGCTAGACTAAGAAGAGTTCTCAGTAACTTTTTTGTGTTGTGTGTATTCAACTCACAGAGTTGAACCTTGCTTTAGAGAGAGCAGATTTGAAACACTCTTGCTGTGGCATTTTCAGGTGGAGATTTCAAGCGATATGAGGACAATTGCAGAAAAGGAAATATCTTCGTATAATAACCAGACAGAATCATTCTCAGAAAGTGCTTTGTGATGTGTGCGTTCCACTCACAGAGTTTAACCTTTCTTTTCATAGAGGAGTTTGGAAACACACTGTTTGTAAAGTCTGCAAGTGGATATATGGACCTGTTTGAGGCCTTCGTTGGAAACGGGATTTCTTCATTGAATGCTAGACGGAAGAATTCTCAGTAAATTCTTTGTGTTGTGTGCATTCAACTCACAGAGTGGAACGTCCCTTTAGACAGAGCAGATTTGAAACACTCTTTTTGCGGAATTTGCAAGTGGAGATTTCTAGCCATTTGATGCCAACAGTAGAAAGGGAAATATCTTCAAATAAAAACCAGACAGAATCATTCTCAGAAAATTCTTTGTGATGTGTGCGTTCAACTCACATAGTTTAACCTTTCTTTTCATAGAGCAGTTTGGAAACACTCTGTTTGTAAAGTCTGCAAGTGGATATATGGACCGCATTGAGGCCTTCGTTGGAAACGGGATTTCTTCATTTCATGCTAGACAGAAGAATTCTCAGTAACTTCTTTGTGCTGTGTGTACTCAACTCACAGAGTGGAACGTCCCTTTGCACAGAGCAGATTTGAAACACTCTTTTTGTGGAGTTTGCAAGTGGAGATTTCAAGCGATTTGATGCCAACAGTAGAAAAGGAAATATCTTCAAATAAAAACTAGACAGAATCATTCTCAGAAACTACTTTGTGATGTGTGCCTTCAACTCACAGAGTTTAACCTTTCTTTTCTTAGAGCAGGTTAGAAACACTCTGCTTGTTATGTCTGCAAGTGGATATTTGGACCTCTTTGAGGCCTTCGTTGCATACGGGGTTTCTTCCTTTCATGCTAGACTAAGAAGAGTTCTCAGTAACTTTTTTGTGTTGTGTGTATTCAACTCACAGAGTTGAACCTTGCTTTAGAGAGAGCAGATTTGAAACACTCTTGCTGTGGCATTTTCAGGTGGAGATTTCAAGCGATTTGAGGACAATTGCAGAAAAGGAAATATCTTCGTATAATAACCAGACAGAATCATTCTCAGAAAGTGCTTTGTGATGTGTGCGTTCCACTCACAGAGTTTAACCTTTCTTTTCATAGAGGAGTTTGGAAACACACTGTTTGTAAAGTCTGCAAGTGGATATATGGACCTGTTTGAGGCCTTCGTTGGAAACGGGATTTCTTCATTGAATGCTAGACGGAAGAATTCTCAGTAAATTCTTTGTGTTGTGTGCATTCAACTCACAGAGTGGAACGTCCCTTTAGACAGAGCAGATTTGAAACACTCTTTTTGCGGAATTTGCAAGTGGAGATTTCTAGCCATTTGATGCCAACAGTAGAAAGGGAAATATCTTCAAATAAAAACCAGACAGAATCATTCTCAGAAAATTCTTTGTGATGTGTGCGTTCAACTCACATAGTTTAACCTTTCTTTTCATAGAGCAGTTTGGAAACACTCTGTTTGTAAAGTCTGCAAGTGGATATATGGACCGCATTGAGGCCTTCGTTGGAAACGGGATTTCTTCATTTCATGCTAGACAGAAGAATTCTCAGTAACTTCTTTGTGCTGTGTGTATTCAACTCACAGAGTGGAACGTCCCTTTGCACAGAGCAGATTAGAAACACTCTTTTTGTGGAATTTGCAAGTGGAGATTTCAAGCGATTTGATGCCAACAGTAGAAAAGGAAATATCTTCAAATAAAAACTAGACAGAATCATTCTCAGAAACTACTTTGTGATGTGTGCCTTCAACTCACAGAGTTTAACCTTTCTTTTCTTAGAGCAGTTTAGAAACACTCTGCTTGTTATGTCTGCAAGTGGATATTTGGACCTCTTTGAGGCCTTCGTTGCAAACGGGGTTTCTTCCTTTCATGCTAGACTAAGAAGAGTTCTCAGTAACTTTTTTGTGTTGTGTGTATTCAACTCACAGAGTTGAACCTTGCTTTAGAGAGAGCAGATTTGAAACACTCTTGCTGTGGCATTTTCAGGTGGAGATTTCAAGCGATTTGAGGACAATTGCAGAAAAGGAAATATCTTCGTATAATAACCAGACAGAATCATTCTCAGAAAGTGCTTTGTGATGTGTGCGTTCAACTCACAGAGTTTAACCTTTCTTTTCATAGAGGAGTTTGGAAACACACTGTTTGTAAAGTCTGCAATTGGATATATGGACCTGTTTGAGGCCTTCTTTGGAAACGGGATTTCCTCATTGAATGCTAGACGGAAGAATTCTCAGTAAATTCTTTGTGTTGTGTGCATTCAACTCACAGAGTGGAACGTCCCTTTAGACAGAGCAGATTTGAAACACTCTTTTTGCGGAATTTGCAAGTGGAGATTTCTAGCCATTTGATGCCAACAGTAGAAAGGGAAATATCTTCAAATAAAAACCAGACAGAATCATTCTCAGAAAATTCTTTGTGATGTGTGCGTTCAACTCACATAGTTTAACCTTTCTTTTCATAGAGCAGTTTGGAAACACTCTGTTTGTAAAGTCTGCAAGTGGATATATGGACCGCATTGAGGCCTTCGTTGGAAACGGGATTTCTTCATTTCATGCTAGACAGAAGAATTCTCAGTAACTTCTTTGTGCTGTGTGTATTGAACTCACAGAGTGGAACGTCCCTTTGCACAGAGCAGATTTGAAACACTCTTTTTGTGGAATTTGCAAGTGGAGATTTCAAGCGATCTGATGCCAACAGTAGAAAAGGAAATATCTTCAAATAAAAACTAGACAGAATCATTCTCAGAAACTACTTTGTGATGTGTGCCTTCAACTCACAGAGTTTAACCTTTCTTTTCTTAGAGCAGTTTAGAAACACTCTGCTTGTTATGTCTGCAAGTGGATATTTGGACCTCTTTGAGGCCTTCGTTGCAAACGGGGTTTCTTCCTTTCATGCTAGACTAAGAAGAGTTCTCAGTAACTTTTTTGTGTTGTGTGTATTCAACTCACAGAGTTGAACCTTGCTTTAGAGAGAGCAGATTTGAAACACTCTTGCTGTGGCATTTTCAGGTGGAGATTTCAAGCGTTTTGAGGACAATTGCAGAAAAGGAAATATCTTCGTATAATAACCAGACAGAATCATTCTCAGAAAGTGCTTTGTGATGTGTGCGTTCCACTCACAGAGTTTAACCTTTCTTTTCATAGAGGAGTTTGGAAACACACTGTTTGTAAAGTCTGCAAGTGGATATATGGACCTGTTTGAGGCCTTCGTTGGAAACGGGATTTCTTCATTGAATGCTAGACGGAAGAATTCTCAGTAAATTCTTTGTGTTGTGTGCATTCAACTGACAGAGTGGAACGTCCCTTTAGACAGAGCAGATTTGAAACACTCTTTTTGCGGAATTTGCAAGTGGAGATTTCTAGCCATTTGATGCCAACAGTAGAAAGGGAAATATCTTCAAATAAAAACCAGACAGAATCATTCTCAGAAAATTCTTTGTGATGTGTGCGTTCAACTCACATAGTTTAACCTTTCTTTTCATAGAGCAGTTTGGAAACACTCTGTTTGTAAAGTCTGCAAGTGGATATATGGACCGCATTGAGGCCTTCGTTGGAAACGGGATTTCTTCATTTCATGCTAGACAGAAGAATTCTCAGTAACTTCTTTGTGCTGTGTGTATTCAACTCACAGAGTGGAACGTCCCTTTGCACAGAGCAGATTTGAAACACTCTTTTTGTGGAGTTTGCAAGTGGAGATTTCAAGCGATTTGATGCCAACAGTAGAAAAGGAAATATCTTCAAATAAAAACTAGACAGAATCATTCTCAGAAACTACTTTGTGATGTGTGCCTTCAACTCACAGAGTTTAACCTTTCTTTTCTTAGAGCAGTTTAGAAACACTCTGCTTGTTATGTCTGCAAGTGGATATTTGGACCTCTTTGAGGCCTTCGTTGCAAACGGGGTTTCTTCCTTTCATGCTAGACTAAGAAGAGTTCTCAGTAACTTTTTTGTGTTGTGTGTATTCAACTCACAGAGTTGAACCTTGCTTTAGAGAGAGCAGATTTGAAACACTCTTGCTGTGGCATTTTCAGGTGGAGATTTCAAGCGATTTGAGGACAATTGCAGAAAAGGAAATATCTTCGTATAATAACCAGACAGAATCATTCTCAGAAAGTGCTTTGTGATGTGTGCGTTCAACTCACAGAGTTTAACCTTTCTTTTCATAGAGGAGTTTGGAAACACACTGTTTGTAAAGTCTGCAAGTGGATATATGGACCTGTTTGAGGCCTTCGTTGGAAACGGGATTTCTTCATTGAATGCTAGACGGAAGAATTCTCAGTAAATTCTTTGTGTTGTGTGCATTCAACTGACAGAGTGGAACGTCCCTTTAGACAGAGCAGATTTGAAACACTCTTTTTGCGGAATTTGCAAGTGGAGATTTCTAGCCATTTGATGCCAACAGTAGAAAGGGAAATATCTTCAAATAAAAACCAGACAGAATCATTCTCAGAAAATTCTTTGTGATGTGTGCGTTCAACTCACATAGTTTAACCTTTCTTTTCATAGAGCAGTTTGGAAACACTCTGTTTGTAAAGTCTGCAAGTGGATATATAGACCGCATTGAGGCCTTCGTTGGAAACGGGATTTCTTCATTTCATGCTAGACAGAAGAATTCTCAGTAACTTCTTTGTGCTGTGTGTATTCAACTCACAGAGTGGAACGTCCCTTTACACAGAGCAGATTTGAAACACTCTTTTTGTGGAATTTGCAAGTGGAGATTTCAAGCGATTTGATGCCAACAGTAGAAAAGGAAATATCTTCAAATAAAAACTAGACAGAATCATTCTCAGAAACTACTTTGTGATGTGTGCCTTCAACTCACAGAGTTTAACCTTTCTTTTCTTAGAGCAGTTTAGAAACACTCTGCTTGTTATGTCTGCAAGTGGATATTTGGACCTCTTTGAGGCCTTCGTTGCAAACGGGGTTTCTTCCTTTAATGCTAGACTAAGAAGAGTTCTCAGTAACTTTTTTGTGTTGTGTGTATTCAACTCACAGAGTTGAACCTTGCTTTAGAGAGAGCAGATTTGAAACACTCTTGCTGTGGCATTTTCAGGTGGAGATTTCAAGCGTTTTGAGGACAATTGCAGAAAAGGAAATATCTTCGTATAATAACCAGACAGAATCATTCTCAGAAAGTGCTTTGTGATGTGTGCGTTCAACTCACAGAGTTTAACCTTTCTTTTCATAGAGGAGTTTGGAAACACACTGTAAAGTCTGCAATTGGATATATGGACCTGTTTGAGGCCTTCGTTGGAAACGGGATTTCTTCATTGAATGCTAGACGGAAGAATTCTCAGTAAATTCTTTGTGTTGTGTGCATTCAACTCACAGAGTGGAACGTCCCTTTAGACAGAGCAGATTTGAAACACTCTTTTTGCGGAATTTGCAAGTGGAGATTTCTAGCCATTTGATGCCAACAGTAGAAAGGGAAATATCTTCAAATAAAAACCAGACAGAATCATTCTCAGAAAATTCTTTGTGATGTGTGCGTTCAACTCACATAGTTTAACCTTTCTTTTCATAGAGCAGTTTGGAAACACTCTGTTTGTAAAGTCTGCAAGTGGATATATGGACCGCATTGAGGCCTTCGTTGGAAACGGGATTTCTTCATTTCATGCTAGACAGAAGAATTCTCAGCAACTTCTTTGTGCTGTGTGTATTCAACTCACAGAGTGGAACGTCCCTTTACACAGAGCAGATTTGAAACACTCTTTTTGTGGAGTTTGCAAGTGAAGATTTCAAACGATTTGATGTCAACAGTAGAAAAGGAAATATCTTCAAATAAAAACTAGACAGAATCATTCTCAGAAACTACTTTGTGATGTGTGCCTTCAACTCACAGAGTTTAACCTTTCTTTTCTTAGAGCAGTTTAGAAACACTCTGCTTGTTATGTCTGCAAGTGGATATTTGGACCTCTTTGAGGCCTTCGTTGCAAACGGGGTTTCTTCCTTTCATGCTAGACTAAGAAGAGTTCTCAGTAACTGTTTTGTGTTGTGTGTATTCAACTCACAGAATTGAACCTTGCTTTAGAGAGAGCAGATTTGAAACACTCTTGCTGTGGCATTTTCAGGTGGAGATTTCAAGCGATTTGAGGACAATTGCAGAAAAGGAAATATCTTCGTATAATAACCAGACAGAATCATTCTCAGAAAGTGCTTTGTGATGTGTGCGTTCAACTCACAGAGTTCAACCTTTCTTTCCATAGAGGAGTTTGGAAACACACTGTTTGTAAAGTCTGCAATTGGATATATGGACCTGTTTGAGGCCTTCGTTGGAAACGGGATTTCTTCATTGAATGCTAGACGGAAGAATTCTCAGTAAATTCTTTGTGTTGTGTGCATTCAACTCACAGAGTGGAACGTCCCTTTAGACAGAGCAGATTTGAAACACTCTTTTTGCGGAATTTGCAAGTGGAGATTTCTAGCCATTTGATGCCAACAGCAGAAAGGGAAACATCTTCAAATAAAAACCAGACAGAATCATTCTCAGAAAATTCTTTGTGATGTGTGCATTCAACTCACATAGTTTAACCTTTCTTTTCATAGAGCAGTTTGGAAACACTCTGTTTGTAAAGTCTGCAAGTGGATATATGGACCGCATTGAGGCCTTCGTTGGAAACGGGATTTCTTCATTTCATGCTAGACAGAAGAATTCTCAGTAACTTCTTTGTGCTGTGTGTATTCAACTCACAGAGTGGAACGTCCCTTTACACAGAGCAGATTTGAAACACTCTTTTTGTGGAGTTTGCAAGTGGAGATTTCAAGCGATTTGATGCCAACAGTAGAAAAGGAAATATCTTCAAATAAAAACTAGACAGAATCATTCTCAGAAACTACTTTGTGATGTGTGCCTTCAACTCACAGAGTTTAACCTTTCTTTTCTTAGAGCAGTTTAGAAACACTCTGCTTGTTATGTCTGCAAGTGGATATTTGGACCTCTTTGAGGCCTTCGTTGCAAACGGGGTTTCTTCCTTTCATGCTAGACTAAGAAGAATTCTCAGTAAATTCTTTGTGTTGTGTGCATTCAACTCACACAGTGTAACGTCCCTTTAGACAGAGCAGATTTGAAACACTCTTTTTGCGGAAGTTGCAAGTGGAGATTTCTAGCCATTTGATGCCAACAGTAGAAAGGGAAATATCTTCAAATAAAAACTAGACAGAATCATTCTCAGAAAGTGCTTTGTGATGTGTGCGTTCAACTCACAGAGTTTAACCTTTCTTTTCATAGAGGAGTTTGGAAACACACTGTTTGTAAAGTCTGCAATTGGATATATGGACCTGTTTGAGGCCTTCGTTGGAAACGAGATTTCTTCATTGAATGCTAGACGGAAGAATTCTCAGTAAATTCTTTGTGTTGTGTGCATTCAACTGACAGAGTGGAACGTCCCTTTATACAGAGCAGATTTGAAACACTCTTTTTGCGGAATTTGCAAGTGGAGATTTCTAGCCATTTGATGCCAACAGTAGAAAGGGAAATATCTTCAAATAAAAACCAGACAGAATCATTCTCAGAAAATTCTTTGTGATGTGTGCGTTCAACTCACATAGTTTAACCTTTCTTTTCATAGAGCAGTTTGGAAACACTCTGTTTGTAAAGTCTGCAAGTGGATATATGGACCGCATTGAGGCCTTCGTTGGAAACGGGATTTCTTCATTTCATGCTAGACAGAAGAATTCTCAGTAACTTCTCTGTGCTGTGTGTATTCAACTCACAGACTGGAACGTCCGTTTGCACAGAGCAGATTTGAAACACTCTCTTTGTGGAATTTGCAAGTGGAGATTTCAAGCGATTTGATGCCAACAGTAGAAAAGGAAATATCTTCAAATAAAAACTAGACAGAACCATTCTCAGAAACTACTTTGTGATGTGTGCCTTCAACTCACAGAGTTTAACCTTTCTTTTCTTAGAGCAGTTTAGAAACACTCTGCTTGTTATGTCTGCAAGTGGATATTTGGACCTCTTTGAGGCCTTCGTTGCAAACGGGGTTTCTTCCTTTCATGCTAGACTAAGAAGAGTTCTCAGTAACTTTTTTGTGTTGTGTGTATTCAACTCACAGAGTTGAACCTTGCTTTAGAGAGAGCAGATTTGAAACACTCTTGCTGTGGCATTTTCAGGTGGAGATTTCAAGCGATTTGAGGACAATTGCAGAAAAGGAAATATCTTCGTATAACAACCAGACAGAATCATTCTCAGAAAGTGCTTTGTGATGTGTGCGTTCCACTCACAGAGTTTAACCTTTCTTTTCATAGAGGAGTTTGGAAACACACTGTTTGTAAAGTCTGCAAGTGGATATATGGACCTGTTTGAGGCCTTCGTTGGAAACGGGATTTCTTCATTGAATGCTAGACGGAAGAATTCTCAGTAAATTCTTTGTGTTGTGTGCATTCAACTCACAGAGTGGAACGTCCCTTTAGACAGAGCAGATTTGAAACACTCTTTTTGCGGAATTTGCAAGTGGAGATTTCTAGCCATTTGATGCCAACAGTAGAAAGGGAAATATCTTCAAATAAAAACCAGACAGAATCATTCTCAGAAAATTCTTTGTGATGTGTGCGTTCAACTCACATAGTTTAACCTTTCTTTTCATAGAGCAGTTTGGAAACACTCTGTTTGTAAAGTCTGCAAGTGGATATATGGACCGCATTGAGGCCTTCGTTGGAAACGGGATTTCTTCATTTCATGCTAGACAGAAGAATTCTCAGTAACTTCTTTGTGCTGTGTGTATTCAACTCACAGAGTGGAACGTCCCTTTGCACAGAGCAGATTTGAAACACTCTTTTTGTGGAGTTTGCAAGTGGAGATTTCAAGCGATTTGATGCCAACAGTAGAAAAGGAAATATCTTCAAATAAAAACTAGACAGAATCATTCTCAGAAACTACTTTGTGATGTGTGCCTTCAACTCACAGAGTTTAACCTTTCTTTTCTTAGAGCAGTTTAGAAACACTCTGCTTGTTATGTCTGCAAGTGGATATTTGGACCTCTTTGAGGCCTTCGTTGCAAACGGGGTTTCTTCCTTTCATGCTAGACTAAGAAGAGTTCTCAGTAACTTTTTTGTGTTGTGTGTATTCAACTCACAGAGTTGAACCTTGCTTTAGAGAGAGCAGATTTGAAACACTCTTGCTGTGGCATTTTCAGGTGGAGATTTCAAGCGATTTGAGGACAATTGCAGAAAAGGAAATATCTTCGTATAATAACCAGACAGAATCATTCTCAGAAAGTGCTTTGTGATGTGTGCGTTCAACTCACAGAGTTTAACCTTTCTTTTCATAGAGGAGTTTGGAAACACACTGTTTGTAAAGTCTGCAAGTGGATATATGGACCTGTTTGAGGCCTTCGTTGGAAACGGGATTTCTTCATTGAATGCTAGACGGAAGAATTCTCAGTAAATTCTTTGTGTTGTGTGCATTCAACTCACAGAGTGGAACGTCCCTTTAGACAGAGCAGATTTGAAACACTCTTTTTGCGGAATTTGCAAGTGGAGATTTCTAGCCATTTGATGCCAACAGTAGAAAGGGAAATATCTTCAAATAAAAACCAGACAGAATCATTCTCAGAAAATTCTTTGTGATGTGTGCGTTCAACTCACATAGTTTAACCTTTCTTTTCATAGAGCAGTTTGGAAACACTCTGTTTGTAAAGTCTGCAAGTGGATATATGGACCGCATTGAGGCCTTCGTTGGAAACGGGATTTCTTCATTTCATGCTAGACAGAAGAATTCTCAGTAACTTCTTTGTGCTGTGTGTATTCAACTCACAGAGTGGAACGTCCCTTTGCACAGAGCAGATTTGAAACACTCTTTTTGTGGAGTTTGCAAGTGGAGATTTCAAGCGATTTGATGCCAACAGTAGAAAAGGAAATATCTTCAAATAAAAACTAGACAGAATCATTCTCAGAAACTACTTTGTGATGTGTGCCTTCAACTCACAGAATTTAACCTTTCTTTTCTTAGAGCAGTTTAGAAACACTCTGCTTGTTATGTCTGCAAGTGGATATTTGGACCTCTTTGAGGCCTTCGTTGCAAACGGGGTTTCTTCCTTTAATGCTAGACTAAGAAGAGTTCTCAGTAACTTTTTTGTGTTGTGTGTATTCAACTCACAGAGTTGAACCTTGCTTTAGAGAGAGCAGATTTGAAACACTCTTGCTGTGGCATTTTCAGGTGGAGATTTCAAGCGATTTGAGGACAATTACAGAAAAGGAAATATCTTCGTATAACAACCAGACAGAATCATTCTCAGAAAGTGCTTTGTGATGTGTGCGTTCAACTCACAGAGCTTAACCTTTCTTTTCATAGAGGAGTTTGAAAACACACTGTTTGTAAAGTCTGCAATTGGATATATGGACCTGTTTGAGGCCTTCGTTGGAAACGGGATTTCTTCATTGAATGCTAGACGGAAGAATTCTCAGTAAATTCTTTGTGTTGTGTGCATTCAACTCACAGAGTGGAACGTCCCTTTAGACAGAGCAGATTTGAAACACTCTTTTTGCGGAATTTGCAAGTGGAGATTTCTAGCCATTTGATGCCAACAGTAGAAAGGGAAATATCTTCAAATAAAAACCAGACAGAATCATTCTCAGAAAATTCTTTGTGATGTGTGCGTTCAACTCACATAGTTTAACCTTTCTTTTCATAGAGCAGTTTGGAAACACTCTGTTTGTAAAGTCTGCAAGTGGATATATGGACCGCATTGAGGCCTTCGTTGGAAACGGGATTTCTTCATTTCATGCTAGACAGAAGAATTCTCAGTAACTTCTTTGTGCTGTGTGTATTCAACTCACAGAGTGGAACGTCCCTTTGCACAGAGCAGATTTGAAACACTCTTTTTGTGGAGTTTGCAAGTGGAGATTTCAAGCGATTTGATGCCAACAGTAGAAAAGGAAATATCTTCAAATAAAAACTAGACAGAATCATTCTCAGAAACTGCTTTGTGATGTGTGCCTTCAACTCACAGAGTTTAACCTTTCTTTTCTTAGAGCAGTTTAGAAACACTCTGCTTGTTATGTCTGCAAGTGGATATTTGGACCTCTTTGAGGCCTTCGTTGCAAACGGGGTTTCTTCCTTTAATGCTAGACTAAGAAGAGTTCTCAGTAACTTTTTTGTGTTGTGTGTATTCAACTCACAGAGTTGAACCTTGCTTTAGAGAGAGCAGATTTGAAACACTCTCGCTGTGGAATTTTCAGGTGGAGATTTCAAGCGATTTGAGGACAATTGCAGAAAAGGAAATATCTTCGTATAATAACCAGACAGAATCATTCTCAGAAAGTGCTTTGTGTTGTGTGCGTTCAACTCACAGAGTTTAACCTTTCTTTTCATAGAGGAGTTTGGAAACACACTGTTTGTAAAGTCTGCAATTGGATATATGGACCTGTTTGAGGCCTTCGTTGGAAACGGGATTTCTTCATTGAATGCTAGACGGAAGAATTCTCAGTAAATTCTTTGTGTTGTGTGCATTCAACTCACAGAGTGGAACGTCCCTTTAGACAGAGCAGATTTGAAACACTCTTTTTGCGGAATTTGCAAGTGGAGATTTCTAGCCATTTGATGCCAACAGTAGAAAGGGAAATATCTTCAAATAAAAACCAGACAGAATCATTCTCAGAAAATTCTTTGTGATGTGTGCGTTCAACTCACATAGTTTAACCTTTCTTTTCATAGAGCAGTTTGGAAACACTCTGTTTGTAAAGTCTGCAAGTGGATATATGGACCGCATTGAGGCCTTCGTTGGAAACGGGATTTCTTCATTTCATGCTAGACAGAAGAATTCTCAGTAACTTCTTTGTGCTGTGTGTATTCAACTCACAGAGTGGAACGTCCCTTTACACAGAGCAGATTTGAAACACTCTTTTTGTGGAGTTTGCAAGTGGAGATTTCAAGCGATTTGATGCCAACAGTAGAAAAGGAAATATCTTCAAATAAAAACTAGACAGAATCATTCTCAGAAACTACTTTGTGATGTGTGCCTTCAACTCACAGAGTTTAACCGTTCTTTTCTTAGAGCACTTTAGAAACACTCTGCTTGTTATGTCTGCAAGTGGATATTTGGACCTCTTTGAGGCCTTCGTTGCAAACGGGGTTTCTTCCTTTCATGCTAGACTAAGAAGAGTTCTCAGTAACTTTTTTGTGTTGTGTGTATTCAACTCACAGAGTTGAACCTTGCTTTAGAGAGAGCAGATTTGAAACACTCTTGCTGTGGCATTTTCAGGTGGAGATTTCAAGCGATTTGAGGACAATTGCAGAAAAGGAAATATCTTCGTATAATAACCAGACAGAATCATTCTCAGAAAGTGCTTTGTGATGTGTGCGTTCCACTCACAGAGTTTAACCTTTCTTTTCATAGAGGAGTTTGGAAACACACTGTTTGTAAAGTCTGCAAGTGGATATATGGACCTGTTTGAGGCCTTCGTTGGAAACGGGATTTCTTCATTGAATGCTAGACGGAAGAATTCTCAGTAAATTCTTTGTGTTGTGTGCATTCAACTCACAGAGTGGAACGTCCCTTTAGACAGAGCAGATTTGAAACACTCTTTTTGCGGAATTTGCAAGTGGAGATTTCTAGCCATTTGATGCCAACAGTAGAAAGGGAAATATCTTCAAATAAAAACCAGACAGAATCATTCTCAGAAAATTCTTTGTGATGTGTGCGTTCAACTCACATAGTTTAACCTTTCTTTTCATAGAGCAGTTTGGAAACACTCTGTTTGTAAAGTCTGCAAGTGGATATATGGACCGCATTGAGGCCTTCGTTGGAAACGGGATTTCTTCATTTCATGCTAGACAGAAGAATTCTCAGTAACTTCTTTGTGCTGTGTGTATTCAACTCACAGAGTTGAACCTTGCTTTAGAGAGAGCAGATTTGAAACACTCTTGCTGTGGCATTTTCAGGTGGAGATTTCAAGCGATTTGAGGAAAATTGCAGAAAAGGGAATATCTTCGTATAATAACCAGACAGAATCATTCTCAGAAAGTGCTTTGTGATGTGTGCGTTCCACTCACAGAGTTTAACCTTTCTTTTCATAGAGGAGTTTGGAAACACACTGTTTGTAAACTCTGCAAGTGGATATATGGACCTGTTTGTGGCCTTCGTTGGAAACGGGATTTCTTCATTGAATGCTAGACGGAAGAATTCTCAGTAAATTCTTTGTGTTGTGTGCATTCAACTCACAGAGTGGAACGTCCCTTTAGACAGAGCAGATTTTAAACACTCTTTTTGCGGAATTTGCAAGTAGAGATTTCTAGCCATTTGATGCCAACAGTAGAAAGGGAAATATCTTCAAATAAAAACCAGACAGAATCATTCTCAGAAAATTCTTTGTGATGTGTGCGTTCAACTCACATAGTTTAACCTTTCTTTTCATAGAGCAGTTTGGAAACACTCTGTTTGTAAAGTCTGCAAGTGGATATATGGACCGCATTGAGGCCTTCGTTGGAAACGGGATTTCTTCATTTCATGCTAGACAGAAGAATTCTCAGTAACTTCTTTGTGCTGTGTGTATTCAACTCACAGAGTGGAACGTCCCTTTGCACAGAGCAGATTTGAAACACTCTTTTTGTGGAATTTGCAAGTGGAGATTTCAAGCGATTTGATGCCAACAGTAGAAAAGGAAATATCTTCAAATAAAAACTAGACAGAATCATTCTCAGAAACTACTTTGTGATGTGTGCCTTCAACTCACAGAGTTTAACCTTTCTTTTCTTAGAGCAGTTTAGAAACACTCTGCTTGTTATGTCTGCAAGTGGATATTTGGACCTCTTTGAGGCCTTCGTTGCAAACGGGGTTTCTTCCTTTAATGCTAGACTAAGAAGAGTTCTCAGTAACTTTTTTGTGTTGTGTGTATTCAACTCACAGAGTTGAACCTTGCTTTAGAGAGAGCAGATTTGAAACACTCTTGCTGTGGCATTTTCAGGTGGAGATTTCAAGCGATTTGAGGACAATTGCAGAAAAGGAAATATCTTCGTATAATAACCAGACAGAATCATTCTCAGAAAGTGCTTTGTGATGTGTGCGTTCAACTCACAGAGTTTAACCTTTCTTTTCATAGAGGAGTTTGGAAACACACTGTTTGTAAAGTCTGCAATTGGATATATGGACCTGTTTGAGGCCTTCGTTGGAAACGGGATTTCTTCATTGCATGCTAGACGGAAGAATTCTCAGTAAATTCTTTGTGTTGTGTGCATTCAACTGACAGAGTGGAACGTCCCTTTAGACAGAGCAGATTTGAAACACTCTTTTTGCGGAATTTGCAAGTGGAGATTTCTAGCCATTTGATGCCAACAGTAGAAAGGGAAACATCTTCAAATAAAAACCAGACAGAATCATTCTCAGAAAATTCTTTGTGATGTGTGCGTTCAACTCACATAGTTTAACCTTTCTTTTCATAGAGCAGTTTGGAAACACTCTGTTTGTAAAGTCTGCAAGTGGATATATGGACCGCATTGAGGCCTTCGTTGGAAACGGGATTTCTTCATTTCATGCTAGACAGAAGAATTCTCAGCAACTTCTTTGTGCTGTGTGTATTCAACTCACAGAGTGGAACGTCCCTTTACACAGAGCAGATTTGAAACACTCTTTTTGTGGAGTTTGCAAGTGAAGATTTCAAACGATTTGATGTCAACAGTAGAAAAGGAAATATCTTCAAATAAAAACTAGACAGAATCATTCTCAGAAACTACTTTGTGATGTGTGCCTTCAACTCACAGAGTTTAACCTTTCTTTTCTTAGAGCAGTTTAGAAACACTCTGCTTGTTATGTCTGCGAGTGGATATTTGGACCTCTTTGAGGCCTTCGTTGCAAACGGGGTTTCTTCCTTTCATGCTAGACTAAGAAGAGTTCTCAGTAACTTTTTTGTGTTGTGTGTATTCAACTCACAGAGTTGAACCTTGCTTTAGAGAGAGCAGATTTGAAACACTCTTGCTGTGGCATTTTCAGGTGGAGATTTCAAGAGATTTGAGGACAATTGCAGAAAAGGAAATATCTTCGTATAATAACCAGACAGAATCATTCTCAGAAAGTGCTTTGTGATGTGTGCGTTCAACTCACAGAGTTTAACCTTTCTTTTCATAGAGGAGTTTGGAAACACACTGTTTGTAAAGTCTGCAAGTGGATATATGGACCTGTTTGAGGCCTTCGTTGGAAACGGGATTTCTTCATTGAATGCTAGACGGAAGAATTCTCAGTAAATTCTTTGTGTTGTGTGCATTCAACTCACAGAGTGGAACGTCCCTTTAGACAGAGCAGATTTGAAACACTCTTTTTGCGGAATTTGCAAGTGGAGATTTCTAGCCATTTGATGCCAACAGTAGAAAGGGAAATATCTTCAAATAAAAACCAGACAGAATCATTCTCAGAAAATTCTTTGTGATGTGTGCGTTCAACTCACATAGTTTAACCTTTGTTTTCATAGAGCAGTTTGGAAACACTCTGTTTGTAAAGTCTGCAAGTGGATATATGGACCGCATTGAGGCCTTCGTTGGAAACGGGATTTCTTCATTTCATGCTAGACAGAAGAATTCTCAGTAACTTCTTTGTGCTGTGTGTATTCAACTCACAGAGTGGAACGTCCCTTTACACAGAGCAGATTTGAAACACTCTTTTTGTGGAGTTTGCAAGTGGAGATTTCAAGCGATTTGATGCCAACAGTAGAAAAGGAAATATCTTCAAATAAAAACTAGACAGAATCATTCTCAGAAACTACTTTGTGATGTGTGCCTTCAACTCACAGAGTTTAACCTTTCTTTTCTTAGAGCACTTTAGAAACACTGTGCTTGTTATGTCTGCAAGTGGATATTTGGACCTCTTTGAGGCCTTCGTTGCAAACGGGGTTTCTTCCTTTAATGCTAGACTAAGAAGAGTTCTCAGTAACTTTTTTGTGTTGTGTGTATTCAACTCACAGAGTTGAACCTTGCTTTAGAGAGAGCAGATTTGAAACACTCTTGCTGTGGCATTTTCAGGTGGAGATTTCAAGCGATTTGAGGACAATTGCAGAAAAGGAAATATCTTCGTATAATAACCAGACAGAATCATTCTCAGAAAGTGCTTTGTGATGTGTGCGTTCAACTCACAGAGTTTAACCTTTCTTTTCATAGAGGAGTTTGGAAACACACTGTTTGTAAAGTCTGCAATTGGATATATGGACCTGTTTGAGGCCTTCGTTGGAAACGGGATTTCTTCATTGAATGCTAGACGGAAGAATTCTCAGTAAATTCTTTGTGTTGTGTGCATTCAACTCACAGAGTGGAACGTCCCTTTAGACAGAGCAGATTTGAAACACTCTTTTTGCGGAATTTGCAAGTGGAGATTTCCAGCCATTTGATGCCAACAGTAGAAAGGGAAATATCTTCAAATAAAAACCAGACAGAATCATTCTCAGAAAATTCTTTGTGATGTGTGCATTCAACTCACATAGTTTAACCTTTCTTTTCATAGAGCAGTTTGGAAACACTCTGTTTGTAAAGTCTGCAAGTGGATATATGGACCGCATTGAGGCCTTCGTTGGAAACGGGATTTCTTCATTTCATGCTAGACAGAAGAATTCTCAGTAACTTCTTTGTGCTGTGTGTATTCAACTCACAGAGTGGAACGTCCCTTTACACAGAGCAGATTTGAAACACTCTTTTTGTGGAGTTTGCAAGTGGAGATTTCAAGCGATTTGATGCCAACAGTAGAAAAGGAAATATCTTCAAATAAAAACTAGACAGAATCATTCTCAGAAACTACTTTGTGATGTGTGCCTTCAACTCACAGAGTTTAACCTTTCTTTTCTTAGAGCAGTTTAGAAACACTCTGCTTGTTATGTCTGCAAGTGGATATTTGGACCTCTTTGAGGCCTTCGTTGCAAACGGGGTTTCTTCCTTTCATGCTAGACTAAGAAGAGTTCTCAGTAACTTTTTTGTGTTGTGTGTATTCAACTCACAGAGTTGAACCTTGCTTTAGAGAGAGCAGATTTGAAACACTCTTGCTGTGGCATTTTCAGGTGGAGATTTCAAGCGATTTGAGGACAATTGCAGAAAAGGAAATATCTTCGTATAATAACCAGACAGAATCATTCTCAGAAAGTGCTTTGTGATGTGTGCGTTCCACTCACAGAGTTTAACCTTTCTTTTCATAGAGGAGTTTGGAAACACACTGTTTGTAAAGTCTGCAAGTGGATATATGGACCTCTTTGAGGCCTTCGTTGGAAACGGGATTTCTTCATTGAATGCTAGACGGAAGAATTCTCAGTAAATTCTTTGTGTTGTGTGCATTCAACTCACAGAGTGGAACGTCCCTTTAGACAGAGCAGATTTGAAACACTCTTTTTGCGGAATTTGCAAGTGGAGATTTCTAGCCATTTGATGCCAACAGTAGAAAGGGAAATATCTTCAAATAAAAACCAGACAGAATCATTCTCAGAAAATTCTTTGTGATGTGTGCGTTCAACTCACATAGTTTAACCTTTCTTTTCATAGAGCAGTTTGGAAACACTCTGTTTGTAAAGTCTGCAAGTGGATATATGGACCGCATTGAGGCCTTCGTTGGAAACGGGATTTCTTCATTTCATGCTAGACAGAAGAATTCTCAGTAACTTCTTTGTGCTGTGTGTATTCAACTCACAGAGTGGAACGTCCCTTTACACAGAGCAGATTTGAAACACTCTTTTTGTGGAGTTTGCAAGTGGAGATTTCAAGCGATTTGATGCCAACAGTAGAAAAGGAAATATCTTCAAATAAAAACTAGACAGAATCATTCTCAGAAACTACTTTGTGATGTGTGCCTTCAACTCACAGAGTTTAACCTTTCTTTTCTTAGAGCAGTTTAGAAACACTCTGCTTGTTATGTCTGCAAGTGGATATTTGGACCTCTTTGAGGCCTTCGTTGCAAACGGGGTTTCTTCCTTTCATGCTAGACTAAGAAGAGTTCTCAGTAACTTTTTTGTGTTGTGTGTATTCAACTCACAGAGTTGAACCTTGCTTTAGAGAGAGCAGATTTGAAACACTCTTGCTGTGGCATTTTCAGGTGGAGATTTCAAGCGTTTTGAGGACAATTGCAGAAAAGGAAATATCTTCGTATAATAACCAGACAGAATCATTCTCAGAAAGTGCTTTGTGATGTGTGCGTTCAACTCACAGAGTTTAACTTTTCTTTCCATAGAGGAGTTTGGAAACACACTGTTTGTAAAGTCTGCAAGTGGATATATGGACCTGTTTGAGGCCTTCGTTGGAAACGGGATTTCTTCATTGAATGCTAGACGGAAGAATTCTCAGTAAATTCTTTGTGTTGTGTGCATTCAACTCACAGAGTGGAACGTCCCTTTAGACAGAGCAGATTTGAAACACTCTTTTTGCGGAATTTGCAAGTGGAGATTTCTAGCCATTTGATGCCAACAGTAGAAAGGGAAATATCTTCAAATAAAAACCAGACAGAATCATTCTCAGAAAATTCTTTGTGATGTGTGCGTTCAACTCACATAGTTTAACCTTTCTTTTCATAGAGCAGTTTGGAAACACTCTGTTTGTAAAGTCTGCAAGTGGATCTATGGACCGCATTGAGGCCTTCGTTGGAAACGGGATTTCTTCATTTCATGCTAGACAGAAGAATTCTCAGTAACTTCTTTGTGCTGTGTGTATTCAACTCACAGAGTGGAACGTCCCTTTGCACAGAGCAGATTTGAAACACTCTTTTTGTGGAGTTTGCAAGTGGAGATTTCAAGCGATTTGATGCCAACAGTAGAAAAGGAAATATCTTCAAATAAAAACTAGACAGAATCATTCTCAAAAACTACTTTGTGATGTGTGCCTTCAACTCACAGAGTTTAACCTTTCTTTTCTTAGAGCAGTTTAGAAACACTCTGCTTGTTATGTCTGCAAGTGGATATTTGGACCTCTTTGAGGCCTTCGTTGCAAACGGGGTTTCTTCCTTTCATGCTAGACTAAGAAGAGTTCTCAGTAACTTTTTTGTGTTGTGTGTATTCAACTCACAGAGTTGAACCTTGCTTTAGAGAGAGCAGATTTGAAACACTCTTGATGTGGCATTTTCAGGTGGAGATTTCAAGCGATTTGAGGACAATTGCAGAAAAGGAAATATCTTCGTATAATAACCAGACAGAATCATTCTCAGAAAGTGCTTTGTGATGTGTGCGTTCAACTCACAGAGTTTAACCTTTCTTTTCATAGAGGAGTTTGGAAACACACTGTTTGTAAAGTCTGCAATTGGATATATGGACCTGTTTGAGGCCTTCTTTGGAAACGGGATTTCTTCATTGAATGCTAGACGGAAGAATTCTCAGTAAATTCTTTGTGTTGTGTGCATTCAACTCACAGAGTGGAACGTCCCTTTAGACAGAGCAGATTTGAAACACTCTTTTTGCGGAATTTGCAAGTGGAGATTTCTAGCCATTTGATGCCAACAGTAGAAAGGGAAATATCTTCAAATAAAAACCAGACAGAATCATTCTCAGAAAATTCTTTGTGATGTGTGCGTTCAACTCACATAGTTTAACCTTTCTTTTCATAGAGCAGTTTGGAAACACTCTGTTTGTAAAGTCTGCAAGTGGATATATAGACCGCATTGAGGCCTTCGTTGGAAACGGGATTTCTTCATTTCATGCTAGACAGAAGAATTCTCAGTAACTTCTTTGTGCTGTGTGTATTCAACTCACAGAGTGGAACGTCCCTTTACACAGAGCAGATTTGAAACACTCTTTTTGTGGAGTTTGCAAGTGGAGATTTCAAGCGATTTGATGCCAGCAGTAGAAAAGGAAATATCTTCAAATAAAAACTAGACAGAATCATTCTCAGAAACTACTTTGTGATGTGTGCCTTCAACTCACAGAGTTTAACCTTTCTTTTCTTAGAGCAGTTTAGAAACACTCTGCTTGTTATGTCTGCAAGTGGATATTTGGACCTCTTTGAGGCCTTCGTTGCAAACGGGGTTTCTTCCTTTCATGCTAGACTAAGAAGAGTTCTCAGTAACTTTTTTGTGTTGTGTGTATTCAACTCACAGAGTTGAACCTTGCTTTAGAGAGAGCAGATTTGAAACACTCTTGCTGTGGCATTTTCAGGTGGAGATTTCAAGCGATTTGAGGACAATTGCAGAAAAGGAAATATCTTCGTATAATAACCAGACAGAATCATTCTCAGAAAGTGCTTTGTGATGTGTGTGTTCAACTCACAGAGTTTAACCTTTCTTTTCATAGAGGAGTTTGGAAACACACTGTTTGTAAAGTCTGCAAGTGGATATATGGACCTGTTTGAGGCCTTCGTTGGAAACGGGATTTCTTCATTGAATGCTAGACGGAAGAATTCTCAGTAAATTCTTTGTGTTGTGTGCATTCAACTCACAGAGTGGAACGTCCCTTTAGACAGAGCAGATTTGAAACACTCTTTTTGCGGAATTTGCAAGTGGAGATTTCTAGCCATTTGATGCCAACAGTAGAAAGGGAAATATCTTCAAATAAAAACCAGACAGAATCATTCTCAGAAAATTCTTTGTGATGTGTGCGTTCAACTCACATAGTTTAACCTTTCTTTTCATAGAGCAGTTTGGAAACACTCTGTTTGTAAAGTCTGCAAGTGGATCTATGGACCGCATTGAGGCCTTCGTTGGAAACGGGATTTCTTCATTTCATGCTAGACAGAAGAATTCTCAGTAACTTCTTTGTGCTGTGTGTATTCAACTCACAGAGTGGAACGTCCCTTTACACAGAGCAGATTTGAAACACTCTTTTTGTGGAGTTTGCAAGTGGAGATTTCAAGCGATTTGATGCCAACAGTAGAAAAGGAAATATCTTCAAATAAAAACTAGACAGAATCATTCTCAGAAACTACTTTGTGATGTGTGCCTTCAACTCACTGAGTTCAACCTTTCTTTTCTTAGAGCAGTTTAGAAACACTCTGCTTGTTATGTCTGCAAGTGGATATTTGGACCTCTTTGAGGCCTTCGTTGCAAACGGGGTTTCTTCCTTTCATGCTAGACTAAGAAGAGTTCTCAGTAACTTTTTTGTGTTGTGTGTATTCAACTCACAGAGTTGAACCTTGCTTTAGAGAAAGCAGATTTGAAACACTTGCTGTGGCATTTTCAGTTGGAGATTTCAAGCGATTGGAGGACAATTGCAGAAAAGGAAATATCTTCGTATAATAACCAGACAGAATCATTCTCAGAAAGTGCTTTGTGATGTGTGCGTTCCACTCACAGAGTTTAACCTTTCTTTTCATAGAGCAGTTTGGAAACACACTGTTTGTAAAGTCTGCAATTGGATATATGGACCTGTTTGAGGCCTTCGTTGGAAACGGGATTTCTTCATTGAATGCTAGACGGAAGAATTCTCAGTAAATTCTTTGTGTTGTGTGCATTCAACTCACAGAGTGGAACGTCCCTTTAGACAGAGCAGATTTGAAACACTCTTTTTGCGGAATTTGCAAGTGGAGATTTCTAGCCATTTGATGCCAACAGTAGAAAGGGAAATATCTTCAAATAAAAACCAGACAGAATCATTCTCAGAAAATTCTTTGTGATGTGTGCGTTCAACTCACATAGTTTAACCTTTCTTTTCATAGAGCAGTTTGGAAACACTCTGTTTGTAAAGTCTGCAAGTGGATATATGGACCGCATTGAGGCCTTCGTTGGAAACGGGATTTCTTCATTTCATGCTAGACAGAAGAATTCTCAGTAACTTCTTTGTGCTGTGTGTATTCAACTCACAGAGTGCAACGTCCCTTTACACAGAGCAGATTTGAAACACTCTTTTTGTGGAGTTTGCAAGTGGAGATTTCAAGCGATTTTATGCCAACAGTAGAAAAGGAAATATCTTCAAATAAAAACTAGACAGAATCATTCTCAGAAACTACTTTGTGATGTGTGCCTTCAACTCACAGAGTTTAACCTTTCTTTTCTTAGAGCAGCTTAGAAACACTCTGCTTGTTATGTCTGCAAGTGGATATTTGGACCTCTTTGAGGCCTTCGTTGCAAACGGGGTTTCTTCCTTTAATGCTAGACTAAGAAGAGTTCTCAGTAACTTTTTTGTGTTGTGTGTATTCAACTCACAGAGTTGAACCTTGCTTTAGAGAGAGCAGATTTGAAACACTCTCGCTGTGGCATTATCAGGTGGAGATTTCAAACGATTTGAGGACAATTGCAGAAAAGGAAATATCTTCGTATAATAACCAGACAGAATCATTCTCAGAAAGTGCTTTGTGTTGTGTGCGTTCAACTCACAGAGTTTAACCTTTCTTTTCATAGAGGAGTTTGGAAACACACTGTTTGTAAAGTCTGCAATTGGATATATGGACCTGTTTGAGGCCTTCGTTGGAAACGGGATTTCTTCATTGAATGCTAGACGGAAGAATTCTCAGTAAATTCTTTGTGTTGTGTGCATTCAACTCACAGAGTGGAACGTCCCTTTAGACAGAGCAGATTTGAAACACTCTTTTTGCGGAATTTGCAAGTGGAGATTTCTAGCCATTTGATGCCAACAGTAGAAAGGGAAATATCTTCAAATAAAAACCAGACAGAATCATTCTCAGAAACTACTTTGTGATGTGTGCCTTCAACTCACAGAGTTTAACCTTTCTTTTCTTAGAGCAGTTTAGAAACACTCTGCATGTTATGTCTGCAAGTGGATATTTGGACCTCTTTGAGGCCTTCGTTGCAAACGGGGTTTCTTCCTTTAATGCTAGACTAAGAAGAGTTCTCAGTAACTTTTTTGTGTTGTGTGTATTCAACTCACAGAGTTGAACCTTGCTTTAGAGATAGCAGATTTGAAACACTCTTGCTGTGGCATTTTCAGGTGGAGATTTCAAGCGATTTGAGGACAATTGCAGAAAAGGAAATATCTTCGTATAATAACCAGACAGAATAATTCTCAGAAAGTGCTTTGTGATGTGTGCGTTCAACTCACAGAGTTTAACCTTTCTTTTCATAGAGGAGTTTGGAAACACACTGTTTGTAAAGTTTGCAATTGGATATATGGACCTGTTTGAGGCCTTCGTTGGAAACGGGATTTCTTCATTGAATGCTAGACGGAAGAATTCTCAGTAAATTCTTTGTGTTGTGTGCATTCAACTCACAGAGTGGAACGTCCCTTTAGACAGAGCAGATTTGAAACACTTTTTTTGCGGAATTTGCAAGTGGAGATTTCTAGCCATTTGATGCCAACAGTAGAAAGGGAAATATCTTCAAATAAAAACCAGACAGAATCATTCTCAGAAAATTCTTTGTGATGTGTGCGTTCAACTCACATAGTTTAACCTTTCTTTTCATAGAGCAGTTTGGAAACACTCTGTTTGTAAAGTCTGCAAGTGGATATATGGACCGCATTGAGGCCTTCGTTGGAAACGGGATTTCTTCATTTCATGCTAGACAGAAGAATTCTCAGTAACTTCTTTGTGCTGTGTGTATTCAACTCACAGAGTGGAACGTCCCTTTGCACAGAGCAGATTTGAAACACTCTTTTTGTGGAGTTTGCAAGTGGAGATTTCAAGCGATTTGATGCCAACAGTAGAAAAGGAAATATCTTCAAATAAAAACTAGACAGAATCATTCTCAGAAACTACTTTGTGATGTGTGCCTTCAACTCACAGAGTTTAACCTTTCTTTTCTTAGAGCAGTTTAGAAACACTCTGCTTGTTATGTCTGCAAGTGGATATTTGGACCTCTTTGAGGCCTTCGTTGCAAACGGGGTTTCTTCCTTTCATGCTAGACTAAGAAGAGTTCTCAGTAACTTTTTTGTGTTGTGTGTATTCAACTCACAGAGTTGAACCTTGCTTTAGAGAGAGCAGATTTGAAACACTCTTGCTGTGGCATTTTCAGGTGGAGATTTCAAGCGATTTGAGGACAATTGCAGAAAAGGAAATATCTTCGTATAATAACCAGACAGAATCATTCTCAGAAAGTGCTTTGTGATGTGTGCGTTCCACTCACAGAGTTTAACCTTTCTTTTCATAGAGGAGTTTGGAAACACACTGTTTGTAAAGTCTGCAAGTGGATATATGGACCTGTTTGAGGCCTTCGTTGGAAACGGGATTTCTTCATTGAATGCTAGACGGAAGAATTCTCAGTAAATTCTTTGTGTTGTGTGCATTCAACTCACAGAGTGGAACGTCCCTTTAGACAGAGCAGATTTGAAACACTCTTTTTGCGGAATTTGCAAGTGGAGATTTCTAGCCATTTGATGCCAACAGTAGAAAGGGAAATATCTTCCAATAAAAACCAGACAGAATCATTCTCAGAAAATTCTTTGTGATGTGTGCGTTCAACTCACATAGTTTAACCTTTCTTTTCATAGAGCAGTTTGGAAACACTCTGTTTGTAAAGTCTGCAAGTGGATATATGGACCGCATTGAGGCCTTCGTTGGAAACGGGATTTCTTCATTTCATGCTAGACAGAAGAATTCTCAGTAACTTCTTTGTGCTGTGTGTATTCAACTCACAGAGTGGAACGTCCCTTTGCACAGAGCAGATTTGAAACACTCTTTTTGTGGAATTTGAAAGTGGAGATTTCAAGCGATTTGATGCCAACAGTAGAAAAGGAAATATCTTCAAATAAAAACTAGACAGAAACCATTCTCAGAAACTACTTTGTGATGTGTGCCTTCAACTCACAGAGTTTAACCTTTCTTTTCTTAGAGCAGTTTAGAAACACTCTGCTTGTTATGTCTGCAACTGGATATTTGGACCTCTTTGAGGCCTTCGTTGCAAACGGGGTTTCTTCCTTTCATGCTAGACTAAGAAGAATTCTCAGTATCTTCTTTGTGTTGTGAGTATTCAACTCACAGATTGGAACGTCCCTTTATACAAAGCAGATTTGAAACACTCTATTTTTGGAATTTGCAAGTGGAGATTTCAAGCGATTTGATGCCAACAGTAGAAAGGAAATATCTGCAAATAAAAACTAGACAGAATCATTCTCAGAAAGTGCTTTGTGATGTGTGCGTTCAACTCACAGAGTTTTACTTTTCTTTTCATAGAGGAGTTTGGAAACACACTGTTTGTAAAGTCTGCAAGTGGATATATGGACCTGTTTGAGGCCTTCGTTGGAAACGGGATTTTATCATATAATGCTAGACGGAAGAATTCTCAGTAAATTCTTTGTGTTGTGTGCATTCAACTCACAGAGTGGAACGTCCCTTTAGACAGAGCAGATTTGAAACACTCTTTTTGCGGAATTTGCAAGTGGAGATTTCTAGCCATTTGATGGCCAACAGTAGAAAGGGAAATATCTTCAAATAAAAACCAGACAGAATCATTCTCAGAAAATTCTTTGGGATGTGTGCGTTCAACTCACATAGTTTAACCTTTCTTTTCATAGAGCAGTTTGGAAACACTCTGTTGGTAAAGTCTGCAAGTGGATATATGGACCGCATTGAGGCCTTCGTTGGAAACGGGATTTCTTCATTTCATGCTAGACAGAAGAATTCTCAGTAACTTCTTTGTGCTGTGTGTATTCAACTCACAGAGTGGAACGTCCCTTTACACAGAGCAGATTTGAAACACTCTTTTTGTGGAATTTGCAAGTGGAGATTTCAAGCGATTTGATGCCAACAGTAGAAAAGGAAATATCTTCAAATAAAAACTAGACAGAATCATTCTCAGAAACTACTTTGTGATGTGTGCCTTCAACTCACAGAGTTTAACCTTTCTTTTCTTAGAGCAGTTTAGAAACACTCTGCTTGTTATGTCTGCAAGTGGATATTTGGACCTCTTTGAGGCCTTCGTTGCAAACGGGGTTTCTTCCTTTAATGCTAGACTAAGAAGAGTTCTCAGTAACTTTTTTGTGTTGTGTGTATTCAACTCACAGAGTTGAACCTTGCTTTAGAGAGAGCAGATTTGAAACACTCTTGCTGTGGCATTTTCAGGTGGAGATTTCAAGCGATTTGAGGACAATTGCAGAAAAGGAAATATCTTCGTATAATAACCAGACAGAATCATTCTCAGAAAGTGCTTTGTGATGTGTGCGTTCAACTCACAGAGTTTAACCTTTCTTTTCATAAAGGAGTTTGGAAACACACTGTTTGTAAAGTCTGCAAGTGGATATATGGACCTGTTTGAGGCCTTCGTTGGAAACGGGATTTCTTCATTGAATGCTAGACGGAAGAATTCTCAGTAAATTCTTTGTGTTGTGTGCATTCAACTCACAGAGTGGAACGTCCCTTTAGACAGAGCAGATTTGAAACACTCTTTTTGCGGAATTTGCAAGTGGAGATTTCTAGCCATTTGATGCCAACAGTAGAAAGGGAAATATCTTCAAATAAAAACCAGACAGAATCATTCTCAGAAAATTCTTTGTGATGTGTGCGTTCAACTCACATAGTTTAACCTTTCTTTTCATAGAGCAGTTTGGAAACACTCTGTTTGTAAAGTCTGCAAGTGGATATATGGACCGCAATGAGGCCTTCGTTGGAAACGGGATTTCTTCATTTCATGCTAGACAGAAGAATTCTCAGTAACTTCTTTGTGCTGTGTGTATTCAACTCACAGAGTGGAACGTCCCTTTGCACAGAGCAGATTTGAAACACTCTTTTTGTGGAATTTGCAAGTGGAGATTTCAAGCGATTTGATGCCAACAGTAGAAAAGGAAATATCTTCAAATAAAAACTAGACAGAATCATTCTCAGAAACTACTTTGTGATGTGTGCCTTCAACTCACAGAGTTTAACCTTTCTTTTCTTAGAGCAGTTTAGAAACACTCTGCTTGTTATGTCTGCAAGTGGATATTTGGACCTCTTTGAGGCCTTCGTTGCAAACGGGGTTTCTTCCTTTCATGCTAGACTAAGAAGAGTTCTCAGTAACTTTTTTGTGTTGTGTGTATTCAACTCACAGAGTTGAACCTTGCTTTAGAGAGAGCAGATTTGAAACACTCTTGCTGTGGCATTTTCAGGTGGAGATTTCAAGCGATTTGAGGACAATTGCAGAAAAGGAAATATCTTCGTATAATAACCAGACAGAATCATTCTCAGAAAGTGCTTTGTGATGTGTGCGTTCAACTCACAGAGTTTAACCTTTCTTTTCATAGAGGAGTTTGGAAACACACTGTTTGTAAAGTCTGCAAGTGGATATATGGACCTGTTTGAGGCCTTCGTTGGAAACGGGATTTCTTCATTGAATGCTAGACGGAAGAATTCTCAGTAAATTCTTTGTGTTGTGTGCATTCAACTCACAGAGTGGAAGGTCCCTTTAGACAGAGCAGATTTGAAACACTCTTTTTGCGGAATTTGCAAGTGGAGATTTCTAGCCATTTGATGCCAACAGTAGAAAGGGAAATATCTTCAAATAAAAACCAGACAGAATCATTCTCAGAAAATTCTTTGTGATGTGTGCGTTCAACTCACATAGTTTAACCTTTCTTTTCATAGAGCAGTTTGGAAACACTCTGTTTGTAAAGTCTGCAAGTGGATCTATGGACCGCATTGAGGCCTTCGTTGGAAACGGGATTTCTTCATTTCATGCTAGACAGAAGAATTCTCAGTAACTTCTTTGTGCTGTGTGTATTCAACTCACAGAGTGCAACGTCCCTTTACACAGAGCAGATTTGAAACACTCTTTTTGTGGAGTTTGCAAGTGGAGATTTCAAGCGATTTGATGCCAACAGTAGAAAAGGAAATATCTTCAAATAAAAACTAGACAGAATCATTCTCAGAAACTACTTTGTGATGTGTGCCTTCAACTCACAGAGTTTAACCTTTCTTTTCTTAGAGCAGCTTAGAAACACTCTGCTTGTTATGTCTGCAAGTGGATATTTGGACCTCTTTGAGGCCTTCGTTGCAAACGGGGTTTCTTCCTTTAATGCTAGACTAAGAAGAGTTCTCAGTAACTTTTTTGTGTTGTGTGTATTCAACTCACAGAGTTGAACCTTGCTTTAGAGAGAGCAGATTTGAAACACTCTCGCTGTGGCATTTTCAGGTGGAGATTTCAAACGATTTGAGGACAATTGCAGAAAAGGAAATATCTTCGTATAATAACCAGACAGAATCATTCTCAGAAAGTGCTTTGTGATGTGTGCGTTCAACTCACAGAGTTTAACCTTTCTTTTCATAGAGGAGTTTGGAAACACACTGTTTGTAAAGTCTGCAATTGGATATATGGACCTGTTTGAGGCCTTCGTTGGAAACGGGATTTTATCATATAATGATAGACGGAAGAATTCTCAGTAAATTCTTTGTGTTGTATGCATTCAATTCACAGAGTGGAACGTCCCTTTAGACAGAGCAGATTTGAAACACTCTTTTTGCGGAATTTGCAAGTGGAGATTTCTAGCCATTTGATGCCAACAGTAGAAAGGGAAATATCTTCAAATAAAAACCAGACAGAATCATTCTCAGAAAATTCTTTGTGATGTGTGCGTTCAACTCACATAGTTTAACCTTTCTTTTCATAGAGCAGTTTGGAAACACTCTGTTTGTAAAGTCTGCAAGTGGATATATGGACCGCATTGAGGCCTTCGTTGGAAACGGGATTTCTTCATTTCATGCTAGACAGAAGAATTCTCAGTAACTTCTTTGTGCTGTGTGTATTCAACTCACAGAGTGGAACGTCCCTTTGCACAGAGCAGATTTGAAACACTCTTTTTGTGGAGTTTGCAAGTGGAGATTTCAAGCGATTTGATGCCAACAGTAGAAAAGGAAATATCTTCAAATAAAAACTAGACAGAATCATTCTCTGAAACTACTTTGTGATGTGTGCCTTCAACTCACAGAGTTTAACCTTTCTTTTCTTAGAGCAGTTTAGAAACACTCTGCTTGTTATGTCTGCAAGTGGTTATTTGGACCTCTTTGAGGCCTTCGTTGCAAACGGGGTGTCTTCCTTTCATGCTAGACTAAGAAGAGTTCTCAGTAACTTTTTTGTGTTGTGTGTATTCAACTCACAGAGTTGAACCTTGCTTTAGAGAGAGCAGATTTGAAACACTCTTGCTGTGGCATTTTCAGGTGGAGATTTCAAGCGTTTTGAGGACAATTGCAGAAAAGGAAATATCTTCGTATAATAACCAGACAGAATCATTCTCAGAAAGTGCTTTGTGATGTGTGCGTTCAACTCACAGAGTTTAACCTTTCTTTTCATAGAGGAGTTTGGAAACACACTGTTTGTAAAGTCTGCAATTGGATATATGGACCTGTTTGAGGCCTTCGTTGGAAACGGGATTTCTTCATTGAATGCTAGACGGAAGAATTCTCAGTAAATTCTTTGTGTTGTGTGCATTCAACTCACAGAGTGGAACGTCCCTTTAGACAGAGCAGATTTGAAACACTCTTTTTGCGGAATTTGCAAGTGGAGATTTCTAGCCATTTGATGCCAACAGTAGAAAGGGAAATATCTTCAAATAAAAACCAGACAGAATCATTCTCAGAAAATTCTTTGTGATGTGTGCGTTCAACTCACATAGTTTAACCTTTCTTTTCATAGAGCAGTTTGGAAACACTCTGTTTGTAATGTCTGCAAGTGGATATATGGACCGCATTGAGGCCTTCGTTGGAAACGGGATTTCTTCATTTCATGCTAGACAGAAGAATTCTCAGTAACTTCTTTGTGCTGTGTGTATTCAACTCACAGAGTGGAACGTCCCTTTGCACAGAGCAGATTTGAAACACTCTTTTTGTGGAATTTGCAAGTGGAGATTTCAAGCGATTTGATGCCAACAGTAGAAAAGGAAATATCTTCAAATAAAAACTAGACAGAATCATTCTCAGAAACTACTTTGTGATGTGTGCCTTCAACTCACAGAGTTTAACCTTTCTTTTCTTAGAGCAGTTTAGAAACACTCTGCTTGTTATGTCTGCAAGTGGATATTTGGACCTCTTTGAGGCCTTCGTTGCAAACGGGGTTTCTTCCTTTCATGCTAGACTAAGAAGAGTTCTCAGTAACTTTTTTGTGTTGTGTGTATTCAACTCACAGAGTTGAACCTTGCTTTAGAGAGAGCAGATTTGAAACACTCTTGCTGTGGCATTTTCAGGTGGAGATTTCAAGCGATTTGAGGACAATTGCAGAAAAGGAAATATCTTCGTATAATAACCAGACAGAATCATTCTCAGAAAGTGCTTTGTGATGTGTGCGTTCAACTCACAGAGTTTAACCTTTCTTTTCATAGAGGAGTTTGGAAACACACTGTTTGTAAAGTCTGCAATTGGATATATGGACCTGTTTGAGGCCTTCGTTGGAAACGGGATTTCTTCATTGAATGCTAGACGGAAGAATTCTCAGTAAATTCTTTGTGTTGTGTGCATTCAACTCACAGAGTGGAACGTCCCTTTAGACAGAGCAGATTTGAAACACTCTTTTTGCGGAATTTGCAAGTGGAGATTTCTAGCCATTTGATGCCAACAGTAGAAAGGGAAATATCTTCAAATAAAAACCAGACAGAATCATTCTCAGAAAATTCTTTGTGATGTGTGCGTTCAACTCACATAGTTTAACCTTTCTTTTCATAGAGCAGTTTGGAAACACTCTGTTTGTAAAGTCTGCAAGTGGATATATGGACCGCATTGAGGCCTTCGTTGGAAACGGGATTTCTTCATTTCATGCTAGACAGAAGAATTCTCAGTAACTTCTTTGTGCTGTGTGTATTCAACTCACAGAGTGGAACGTCCCTTTACACAGAGCAGATTTGAAACACTCTTTTTGTGGAGTTTGCAAGTGGAGATTTCAAGCGATTTGATGCCAACAGTAGAAAAGGAAATATCTTCAAATAAAAACTAGACAGAATCATTCTCAGAAACTACTTTGTGATGTGTGCCTTCAACTCACAGAGTTTAACCTTTCTTTTCTTAGAGCAGTTTAGAAACACTCTGCTTGTTATGTCTGCAAGTGGATATTTGGACCTCTTTGAGGCCTTCGTTGCAAACGGGGTTTCTTCCTTTCATGCTAGACTAAGAAGAGTTCTCAGTAACTTTTCTGTGTTGTGTGTATTCAACTCACACAGTTGAACCTTGCTTTAGAGAGAGCAGATTTGAAACACTCTTGCTGTGGCATTTTCAGGTGGAGATTTCAAGCGTTTTGAGGACAATTGCAGAAAAGGAAATATCTTCGTATAATAACCAGACAGAATCATTCTCAGAAAGTGCTTTGTGATGTGTGCGTTCCACTCACAGAGTTTAACCTTTCTTTTCATAGAGGAGTTTGGAAACACACTGTTTGTAAAGTCTGCAAGTGGATATATGGACCTGTTTGAGGCCTTCGTTGGAAACGGGATTTCTTCATTGAATGCTAGACGGAAGAATTCTCAGTAAATTCTTTGTGTTGTGTGCATTCAACTCACAGAGTGGAACGTCCCTTTAGACAGAGCAGATTTGAAACACTCTTTTTGCGGAATTTGCAAGTGGAGATTTCTAGCCATTTGATGCCAACAGTAGAAAGGGAAATATCTTCAAATAAAAACCAGACAGAATCATTCTCAGAAAATTCTTTGTGATGTGTGCGTTCAACTCACATAGTTTAACCTTTCTTTTCATAGAGCAGTTTGGAAACACTCTGTTTGTAAAGTCTGCAAGTGGATATATGGACCGCATTGAGGCCTTCGTTGGAAACGGGATTTCTTCATTTCATGCTAGACAGAAGAATTCTCAGTAACTTCTTTGTGCTGTGTGTATTCAACTCACAGAGTGGAACGTCCCTTTACACAGAGCAGATTTGAAACACTCTTTTTGTGGAGTTTGCAAGTGGAGATTTCAAGCGATTTGATGCCAACAGTAGAAAAGGAAATATCTTCAAATAAAAACTAGACAGAATCATTCTCAGAAACTACTTTGTGATGTGTGCCTTCAACTCACAGAGTTTAACCTTTCTTTTCTTAGAGCAGTTTAGAAACACTCTGCTTGTTATGTCTGCAAGTGGATATTTGGACCTCTTTGAGGCCTTCGTTGCAAACGGGGTTTCTTCCTTTCATGCTAGACTAAGAAGAGTTCTCAGTAACTTTTTTGTGTTGTGTGTATTCAACTCACAGAGTTGAACCTTGCTTTAGAGAGAGCAGATTTGAAACACTCTTGCTGTGGCATTTTCAGGTGGAGATTTCAAGCGATTTGAGGACAATTGCAGAAAAGGAAATATCTTCGTATAATAACCAGACAGAATCATTCTCAGAAAGTGCTTTGTGATGTGTGCGTTCCACTCACAGAGTTTGACCTTTCTTTTCATAGAGGAGTTTGGAAACACACTGTTTGTAAAGTCTGCAATTGGATATATAGACATGTTTGAGGCCTTCGTTGGAAACGGGATTTCTTCATTGAATGCTAGACGGAAGAATTCTCAGTAAATACTTTGTGTTGTGTGCATTCAACTGACAGAGTGGAACGTCCCTTTAGACAGAGCAGATTTGAAACACTCTTTTTGCGGAATTTGCAAGTGGAGATTTCTAACCATTTGATGCCAACAGTAGAAAGGGAAACATCTTCAAATAAAAACCAGACAGAATCATTCTCAGAAAATTCTTTGTGATGTGTGCGTTCAACTCACATAGTTTAACCTTTCTTTTCATAGAGCAGTTTGGAAACACTCTGTTTGTAAAGTCTGCAAGTGGATATATGGACCGCATTGAGGCCTTCGTTGGAAACGGGATTTCTTCATTTCATGCTAGACAGAAGAATTCTCAGTAACTTCTTTGTGCTGTGTGTATTCAACTCACAGAGTGGAACGTCCCTTTACACAGAGCAGATTTGAAACACTCTTTTTGTGGAGTTTGCAAGTGGAGATTTCAAGCGATTTGATGCCAACAGTAGAAAAGGAAATATCTTCAAATAAAAACTAGACAGAATCATTCTCAGAAACTACTTTGTGATGTGTGCCTTCAACTCACAGAGTTTAACCTTTCTTTTCTTAGAGCAGTTTAGAAACACTCTGCTTGTTATGTCTGCAAGTGGATATTTGGACCTCTTTGAGGCCTTCGTTGCAAACGGGGTTTCTTCCTTTCATGCTAGACTAAGAAGAGTTCTCAGTAACTTTTTTGTGTTGTGTGTATTCAACTCACAGAGTTGAACCTTGCTTTAGAGAGAGCAGATTTGAAACACTCTTGCTGTGGCATTTTCAGGTGGAGATTTCAAGCGATTTGAGGACAATTGCAGAAAAAGAAATATCTTCGTATAATAACCAGACAGAATCATTCTCAGAAAGTGCTTTGTGATGTGTGCGTTCCACTCACAGAGTTTAACCTTTCTTTTCATAGAGGAGTTTGGAAACACACTGTTTGTAAAGTCTGCAAGTGGATATATGGACCTGTTTGAGGCCTTCGTTGGAAACGGGATTTCTTCATTGAATGCTAGACGGAAGAATTCTCAGTAAATTCTTTGTGTTGTGTGCATTCAACTCACAGAGTGGAACGTCCCTTTAGACAGAGCAGATTTGAAACACTCTTTTTGCGGAATTTGCAAGTGGAGATTTCTAGCCATTTGATGCCAACAGTAGAAAGGGAAATATCTTCAAATAAAAACCAGACAGAATCATTCTCAGAAAATTCTTTGTGATGTGTGCGTTCAACTCACATAGTTTAACCTTTCTTTTCATAGAGCAGTTTGGAAACACTCTGTTTGTAAAGTCTGCAAGTGGATATATGGACCGCATTGAGGCCTTCGTTGGAAACGGGATTTCTTCATTTCATGCTAGACAGAAGAATTCTCAGTAACTTCTTTGTGCTGTGTGTATTCAACTCACAGAGTGGAACGTCCCTTTGCACAGAGCAGATTTGAAACACTCTTTTTGTGGAGTTTGCAAGTGGA
Source organism: Homo sapiens (assembly GCF_000001405.40). Classification (NCBI taxonomy): domain Eukaryota; kingdom Metazoa; phylum Chordata; class Mammalia; order Primates; family Hominidae; genus Homo; species Homo sapiens. Next base: position 58,640,178 of record NC_000007.14, read on the forward strand.
GATTTCAAGCGATTTGATGCCAACAGTAGAAAAGGAAATATCTTCAAATAAAAACTAGACAGAATCATTCTCAGAAACTACTTTGTGATGTGTGCCTTCAACTCACAGAGTTTAACCTTTCTTTTCTTAGAGCAGTTTAGAAACACTCTGCTTGTTATGTCTGCAAGTGGATATTTGGACCTCTTTGAGGCCTTCGTTGCAAACGGGGTTTCTTCCTTTCATGCTAGACTAAGAAGAGTTCTCAGTAACTTTTCTGTGTTGTGTGTATTCAACTCACAGAGTTGAACCTTGCTTTAGAGAGAGCAGATTTGAAACACTCTTTCTGTGACATTTTCAGGTGGAGATTTCAAGCGATTTGAGGACAATTGCAGAAAAGGAAATATCTTCGTATAATAACCAGACAGAAATCATTCTCAGAAAGTGCTTTGTGATGTGTGCGTTCAACTCACAGAGTTTAACCTTTCTTTTCATAGAGGAGTTTGGAAACACACTGTTTCTAAAGTCTGCAATTGGATATATGGACCTGTTTGAGGCCTTCGTTGGAAACGGGATTTCTTCATTGAATGCTAGACGGAAGAATTCTCAGTAAATTCTTTGTGTTGTGTGCATTCAACTCACAGAGTGGAACGTCCCTTTAGACAGAGCAGATTTGAAACACTCTTTTTGCGGAATTTGCAAGTGGAGATTTCTAGCCATTTGATGCCAACAGTAGAAAGGGAAATATCTTCAAATAAAAACCAGACAGAATCATTCTCAGAAAATTCTTTGTGATGTGTGCGTTCAACTCACATAGTTTAACCTTTCTTTTCATAGAGTAGTTTGGAAACACTCTGTTTGTAAAGTCTGCAAGTGGATATATGGACCGCATTGAGGCCTTCGTTGGAAACGGGATTTCTTCATTTCATGCTAGACAGAAGAATTCTCAGTAACTTCTTTGTGCTGTGTGTATTCAACTCACAGAGTGGAACGTCCCTTTGCACAGAGCAGATTTGAAACACTCTTTTTGTGGAGTTTGCAAGTGGAGATTTCAAGCGATTTGATGCCAACAGTAGAAAAGGAAGTATCTTCAAATAAAAACTAGCACAGAATCATTCTCAGAAAATTCTTTGTGATGTGTGCCTTCAACTCACAGAGTTTAACCTTTCTTTTCTTAGAGCAGTTTAGAAACACTCTGCTTGTTATGTCTGCAAGTGGATATTTGCACCTCTTTGAGGCCTTCGGTTGCAAACGGGGTTTTTTCCTTTAATGCTAGACTAAGAAGAGTTCTCAGTAACTTTTTTGTGTTGTGTGTATTCAACTCACACAGTTGAACCTTGCTTTAGAGAGAGCAGATTTGAAACACTCTCGCTGTGGCATTATCAGGTGGAGATTTCAAACGATTTGAGGACAATTGCAGAAAAGGAAATATCTTCGTATAATAACCAGACAGAATCATTCTCAGAAAGTGCTTTGTGATGTGTGCGTTCAACTCACAGAGTTTAACCTTTCTTTTCATAGAGGAGTTTGGAAACACACTGTTTGTAAAGTCTGCAATTGGATATATGGACCTGTTTGAGGCCTTCGTTGGAAACGGGATTTCTTCATTGAATGCTAGACGGAAGAATTCTCAGTAAATTCTTTGTGTTGTGTGCATTCAACTCACAGAGTGGAACGTCCCTTTAGACAGAGCAGATTTGAAACACTCTTTTTGCGGAATTTGCAAGTGGAGATTTCTAGCCATTTGATGCCAACAGTAGAAAGGGAAATATCTTCAAATAAAAACCAGACAGAATCATTCTCAGAAAATTCTTTGTGATGTGTGCGTTCAACTCACATAGTTTAACCTTTCTTTTCATAGAGCAGTTTGGAAACACTCTGTTTGTAAAGTCTGCAAGTGGATATATGGACCGCATTGAGGCCTTCGTTGGAAACGGGATTTCTTCATTTCATGCTAGACAGAAGAATTCTCAGTAACTTCTTTGTGCTGTGTGTATTCAACTCACAGAGTGGAACGTCCCTTTGCACAGAGCAGATTTGAAACACTCTTTTTCTGCAGTTTGCAAGTGGAGATTTCAAGCGATTTGATGCCAACAGTAGAAAAGGAAATATCTTCAAATAAAAACTAGACAGAATCATTCTCAGAAACTACTTTGTGATGTGTGCCTTCAACTCACAGAGTTTAACCTTTCTTTTCTTAGAGCAGTTTAGAAACACTCTGCTTGTTATGTCTGCAAGTGGATATTTGGACCTCTTTGAGGCCTTCGTTGCAAACGGGGTTTCTTCCTTTCATGCTAGACTAAGAAGAGTTCTCAGTAACTTTTTTGCGTTGTGTGTATTCAACTCACAGAGTTGAACCTTGCTTTAGAGAGAGCAGATTTGAAACACTCTTGCTGTGGCATTTTCAGGTGGAGATTTCAAGCGATTTGAGGACAATTGCAGAAAAGGAAATATCTTCGTATAACAACCAGACAGAATCATTCTCAGAAAGTGCTTTGTGATGTGTGCGTTCAACTCACAGAGTTTAACCTTTCTTTTCATAGAGGAGTTTGGAAACACACTGTTTGTAAAGTCTGCAATTGGATATATGGACCTGTTTGAGGCCTTCGTTGGAAACGGGATTTCTTCATTGAATGCTAGACGGAAGAATTCTCAGTAAATTCTTTGTGTGGTGTGCATTCAACTCACAGAGTGGAACGTCCCTTTAGACAGAGCAGATTTGAAACACTCTTTTTGCGGAATTTGCAAGTGGAGATTTCTAGCCATTTGATGCCAACAGTAGAAAGGGAAATATCTTCAAATAAAAACCAGACAGAATCATTCTCAGAAAATTCTTTGTGATGTGTGCGTTCAACTCACATAGTTTAACCTTTCTTTTCATAGAGCAGTTTGGAAACACTCTGTTTGTAAAGTCTGCAAGTGGATATATGGACCGCATTGAGGCCTTCGTTGGAAACGGGATTTCTTCATTTCATGCTAGACAGAAGAATTCTCAGTAACTTCTTTGTGCTGTGTGTATTCAACTCACAGAGTGGAACGTCCCTTTACACAGAGCAGATTTGAAACACTCTTTTTGTGGAGTTTGCAATTGGAGATTTCAAGCGATTTGATGCCAACAGTAGAAAAGGAAATATCTTCAAATAAAAACTAGACAGAATCATTCTCAGAAACTACTTTGTGATGTGTGCCTTCAACTTACAGAGTTTAACCTTTCTTTTCTTAGAGCAGTTTAGAAACACTCTGCTTGTTATGTCTGCAAGTGGATATTTGGACCTCTTTGAGGCCTTCGTTGCAAACGGGGTTTCTTCCTTTCATGCTAGACTAAGAAGAGTTCTCAGTAACTTTTTTGTGTTGTGTGTATTCAACTCACAGAGTTGAACCTTGCTTTAGAGAGAGCAGATTTGAAACACTCTTGCTGTGGCATTTTCAGGTGGAGATTTCAAGCGATTTGAGGACAATTGCAGAAAAGGAAATATCTTCGTATAATAACCAGACAGAATCATTCTCAGAAAGTGCTTTGTGATGTGTGCGTTCAACTCACAGAGTTTAACCTTTCTTTTCATAGAGGAGTTTGGAAACACACTGTTTGTAAAGTCTGCAATTGGATATATGGACCTGTTTGAGGCCTTCGTTGGAAACGGGATTTCTTCATTGAATGCTAGACGGAAGAATTCTCAGTAAATTCTTTGTGTTGTGTGCATTCAACTCACAGAGTGGAACGTCCCTTTAGACAGAGCAGATTTGAAACACTCTTTTTGCGGAATTTGCAAGTGGAGATTTCTAGCCATTTGATGCCAACAGTAGAAAGGGAAATATCTTCAAATAAAAACCAGACAGAATCATTCTCAGAAAATTCTTTGTGATGTGTGCGTTCAACTCACATAGTTTAACCTTTCTTTTCATAGAGCAGTTTGGAAACACTCTGTTTGTAAAGTCTGCAAGTGGATATATGGACCGCATTGAGGCCTTCGTTGGAAACGGGATTTCTTCATTTCATGCTAGACAGAAGAATTCTCAGTAACTTCTTTGTGCTGTGTGTATTCAACTCACAGAGTGGAACGTCCCTTTACACAGAGCAGATTTGAAACACTCTTTTTGTGGAGTTTGCAAGTGGAGATTTCAAGCGATTTGATGCCAACAGTAGAAAAGGAAATATCTTCAAATAAAAACTAGACAGAATCATTCTCAGAAACTGCTTTGTGATGTGTGCCTTCAACTCACAGAGTTTAACCTTTCTTTTCTTAGAGCAGTTTAGAAACACTCTGCTTGTTATGTCTGCAAGTGGATATTTGGACCTCTTTGTGGCCTTCGTTGCAAACGGGGTTTCTTCCTTTCATGCTAGACTAAGAAGAGTTCTCAGTAACTTTTTTGTGTTGTGTGTATTCAACTCACAGAGTTGAACCTTGCTTTAGAGAGAGCAGATTTGAAACACTCTTGCTGTGGCATTTTCAGGTGGAGATTTCAAGCGATTTGAGGACAATTGCAGAAAAAGAAATATCTTCGTATAATAACCAGACAGAATCATTCTCAGAAAGTGCTTTGTGATGTGTGCGTTCCACTCACAGAGTTTAACCTTTCTTTTCATAGAGGAGTTTGGAAACACACTGTTTGTAAAGTCTGCAAGTGGATATATGGACCTGTTTGAGGCCTTCGTTGGAAACGGGATTTCTTCATTGAATGCTAGACGGAAGAATTCTCAGTAAATTCTTTGTGTTGTGTGCATTCAACTCACAGAGTGGAACGTCCCTTTAGACAGAGCAGATTTGAAACACTCTTTTTGCGGAATTTGCAAGTGGAGATTTCTAGCCATTTGATGCCAACAGTAGAAAGGGAAATATCTTCAAATAAAAACCAGACAGAATCATTCTCAGAAAATTCTTTGTGATGTGTGCGTTCAACTCACATAGTTTAACCTTTCTTTTCATAGAGCAGTTTGGAAACACTCTGTTTGTAAAGTCTGCAAGTGGATATATGGACCGCATTGAGGCCTTCGTTGGAAACGGGATTTCTTCATTTCATGCTAGACAGAAGAATTCTCAGTAACTTCTTTGTGCTGTGTGTATTCAACTCACAGAGTGGAACGTCCCTTTGCACAGAGCAGATTTGAAACACTCTTTTTGTGGAGTTTGCAAGTGGAGATTTCAAGCGATTTGATGCCAACAGTAGAAAAGGAAATATCTTCAAATAAAAACTAGACAGAATCATTCTCAGAAACTACTTTGTGATGTGTGCCTTCAACTCACAGAGTTTAACCTTTCTTTTCTTAGAGCAGTTTAGAAACACTCTGCTTGTTATGTCTGCAAGTGGATATTTGGACCTCTTTGAGGCCTTCGTTGCAAACGGGGTTTCTTCCTTTCATGCTAGACTAAGAAGAGTTCTCAGTAACTTTTTTGTGTTGTGTGTATTCAACTCACAGAGTTGAACCTTGCTTTAGAGAGAGCAGATTTGAAACACTCTTGCTGTGGCATTTTCAGGTGGAGATTTCAAGCGATTTGAGGACAATTGCAGAAAAGGAAATATCTTCGTATAATAACCAGACAGAATCATTCTCAGAAAGTGCTTTGTGATGTGTGCGTTCAACTCACAGAGTTTAACCTTTCTTTTCATAGAGGAGTTTGGAAACACACTGTTTGTAAAGTCTGCAAGTGGATATATGGACCTGTTTGAGGCCTTCGTTGGAAACGGGATTTCTTCATTGAATGCTAGACGGAAGAATTCTCAGTAAATTCTTTGTGTTGTGTGCATTCAACTCACAGAGTGGAACGTCCCTTTAGACAGAGCAGATTTGAAACACTCTTTTTGCGGAATTTGCAAGTGCAGATTTCTAGCCATTTGATGCCAACAGTAGAAAGGGAAATATCTTCAAATAAAAACCAGACAGAATCATTCTCAGAAAATTCTTTGTGATGTGTGCGTTCAACTCACATAGTTTAACCTTTCTTTTCATAGAGCAGTTTGGAAACACTCTGTTTGTAAAGTCTGCAAGTGGATATATGGACCGCATTGAGGCCTTCGTTGGAAACGGGATTTCTTCATTTCATGCTAGACAGAAGAATTCTCAGTAACTTCTTTGTGCTGTGTGTATTCAACTCACAGAGTGGAACGTCCCTTTGCACAGAGCAGATTTGAAACACTCTTTTTGTGGAGTTTGCAAGTGGAGATTTCAAGCGATTTGATGCCAACAGTAGAAAAGGAAGTATCTTCAAATAAAAACTAGACAGAATCATTCTCAGAAACTACTTTGTGATGTGTGCCTTCAACTCACCGAGTTTAACCTTTCTTTTCTGAGAGCAGCTTAGAAACACTCTGCTTGTTATGTCTGCAAGTGGATATTTGGACCTCTTTGAGGCCTTCGTTGCAAACGGGGTTTCTTCCTTTCATGCTAGACTAAGAAGAGTTCTCAGTAACTTTTTTGTGTTGTGTGTATTCAACTCACAGAGTTGAACCTTGCTTTAGAGAGAGCAGATTTGAAACACTCTTGCTGTGGCATTTTCAGGTGGAGATTTCAAGCGATTTGAGGACAATTGCAGAAAAGGAAATATCTTCGTATAATAACCAGACAGAATCATTCTCAGAAAGTGCTTTGTGATGTGTGCGTTCAACTCACAGAGTTTAACCTTTCTTTTCATAGAGGAGTTTGGAAACACACTGTTTGTAAAGTCTGCAATTGGATATATGGACCTGTTTGAGGCCTTCGTTGGAAACGGGATTTCTTCATTGCATGCTAGACGGAAGAATTCTCAGTAAATTCTTTGTGTTGTGTGCATTCAACTCACAGAGTGGAACGTCCCTTTAGACAGAGCAGATTTGAAACACTCTTTTTGCGGAATTTGCAAGTGGAGATTTCTAGCCATTTGATGCCAACAGTAGAAAGGGAAATATCTTCAAATAAAAACCAGACAGAATCATTCTCAGAAAATTCTTTGTGATGTGTGCGTTCAACTCACATAGTTTAACCTTTCTTTTCATAGAGCAGTTTGGAAACACTCTGTTTGTAAAGTCTGCAAGTGGATATATGGACCGCATTGAGGCCTTCGTTGCAAACGGGGTTTCTTCCTTTCATGCTAGACAGAAGAATTCTCAGTAACTTCTTTGTGCTGTGTGTATTCAACTCACAAAGTTGAACCTTGCTTTAGAGAGAGCAGATTTGAAACACTCTTGCTGTGGCATTTTCAGGTGGAGATTTCAAGCGATTTGAGGACAATTGCAGAAAAGGAAATATCTTCAAATAATAACCAGACAGAATCATTCTCAGAAAGTGCTTTGTGATGTGTGCGTTCAACTCACAGAGTTTAACCTTCCTTTTCATAGAGGAGTTTGGAAACACACTGTTTGTAAAGTCTGCAATTGGATATAAGGACCTGTTTGAGGCCTTCGTTGGAAACGGGATTTCTTCATTGAATGCTAGACGGAAGAATTCTCAGTAAATTCTTTGTGTTGTGTGCATTCAACTGACAGAGTGGAACGTCCCTTTAGACAGAGCAGATTTGAAACACTCTTTTTGCGGAATTTGCAAGTGGAGATTTCTAGCCATTTGATGCCAACAGTAGAAAGGGAAACATCTTCAAATAAAAACCAGACAGAATCATTCTCAGAAGATTCTTTGTGATGTGTGCGTTCAACTCACATAGTTTAACCTTTCTTTTCATAGAGCAGTTTGGAAACACTCTGTTTGTAAAGTCTGCAAGTGGATATATGGACCGCATTGAGGCCTTCGTTGGAAACGGGATTTCTTCATTTCATGCTAGACAGAAGAATTCTCAGTAACTTCTTTGTGCTGTGTGTATTCAACTCACAGAGTGGAACGTCCCTTTGCACAGAGCAGATTTGAAACACTCTTTTTGTGGAGTTTGCAATTGGAGATTTCAAGCGATTTGATGCCAACAGTAGAAAAGGAAATATCTTCAAATAAAAACTAGACAGGAATCATTCTCAGAAACTACTTTGTGATGTGTGCCTTCAACTCACAGAGTTTAACCTTTCTTTTCTTAGAGCAGTTTAGAAACACTCTGCTTGTTATGTCTGCAAGTGGATATTTGGACCTCTTTGAGGCCTTCGTTGCAAACGGGGTTTCTTCCTTTCATGCTAGACTAAGAAGAGTTCTCAGTAACTTTTTTGTGTTGTGTGTATTCAACTCACAGAGTTGAACCTTGCTTTAGAGAGAGCAGATTTGAAACACTCTTGCTGTGGCATTTTCAGGTGGAGATTTCAAGCGATTTGAGGACAATTGCAGAAAAGGAAATATCTTCGTATAATAACCAGACAGAATCATTCTCAGAAAGTGCTTTGTGATGTGTGCGTTCCACTCACAGAGTTTAACCTTTCTTTTCATAGAGGAGTTTGGAAACAAACTGTTTGTAAACTCTGCAAGTGGATATATGGACCTGTTTGAGGCCTTCGTTGGAAACGGGATTTCTTCATTGAATGCTAGACGGAAGAATTCTCAGTAAATTCTTTGTGTTGTGTGCATTCAACTCACAGAGTGGAACGTCCCTTTAGACAGAGCAGATTTGAAACACTCTTTTTGCGGAATTTGCAAGTGGAGATTTCTAGCCATTTGATGCCAACAGTAGAAAGGGAAATATCTTCAAATGAAAACCAGACAGAATCATTCTCAGAAAATTCTTTGTGATGTGTGCGTTCAACTCACATAGTTTAACCTTTCTTTTCATAGAGCAGTTTGGAAACACTCTGTTTGTAAAGTCTGCAAGTGGATATATGGACCGCATTGAGGCCTTCGTTGGAAACGGGATTTCTTCATTTCATGCTAGACAGAAGAATTCTCAGTAACTTCTTTGTGCTGTGTGTATTCAACTCACAGAGTGGAACGTCCCTTTGCACAGAGCAGACTTGAAACACTCTTTTTGTGGAATTTGTAAGTGGAGATTTCAAGCGATTTGATGCCAACAGTAGAAAAGGAAATATCTTCAAATAAAAACTAGACAGAATCATTCTCAGAAACTACTTTGTGATGTGTGCCTTCAACTCACAGAGTTTAACCTTTCTTTTCTTAGAGCAGTTTAGAAACACTCTGCTTGTTATGTCTGCAAGTGGATATTTGGACCTCTTTGAGGCCTTCGTTGCAAACGGGGTTTCTTCCTTTAATGCTAGACTAAGAAGAGTTCTCAGTAACTTTTTTGTGTTGTGTGTATTCAACTCACAGAGCTGAACCTTGCTTTAGAGAGAGCAGATTTGAAACACTCTTGCTGTGGCATTTTCAGGTGGAGATTTCAAGCGATTTGAGGACAATTGCAGAAAAGGAAATATCTTCGTATAACAACCAGACAGAATCATTCTCAGAAAGTGCTTTGTGATGTGTGCGTTCAACTCACAGAGTTTAACCTTTCTTTTCATAGAGGAGTTTGGAAACACACTGTTTGTAAAGTCTGCAATTGGATATATGGACCTGTTTGAGGCCTTCGTTGGAAACGGGATTTCTTCATTGAATGCTAGACGGAAGAATTCTCAGTAAATACTTTGTGTTGTGTGCATTCAACTCACAGAGTGGAACGTCCCTTTAGACAGAGCAGATTTGAAACACTCTTTTTGCGGAATTTGCAAGTGGAGATTTCTAGCCATTTGATGCCAACAGTAGAAAGGGAAATATCTTCAAATAAAAACCAGACAGAATCATTCTCAGAAAATTCTTTGTGATGTGTGCGTTCAACTCACATAGTTTAACCTTTCTTTTCATAGAGCAGTTTGGAAACACTCTGTTTGTAAAGTCTGCAAGTGGATATATGGACCGCATTGAGGCCTTCGTTGGAAACGGGATTTCTTCATTTCATGCTAGACAGAAGAATTCTCAGTAACTTCCTTGTGCTGTGTGTATTCAACTCACAGAGTGGAACGTCCCTTTACACAGAGCAGATTTGAAACACTCTTTTTGTGGAATTTGCAAGTGGAGATTTCAAGCGATTTGATGCCAACAGTAGAAAAGGAAATATCTTCAAATAAAAACTAGACAGAATCATTCTCAGAAACTACTTTGTGATGTGTGCCTTCAACTCACAGAGTTTAACCTTTCTTTTCATAGAGCAGTTTAGAAACACTCTGCTTGTTATGTCTGCAAGTGGATATTTGGACCTCTTTGAGGCCTTCGTTGCAAACGGGGTTTCTTCCTTTCATGCTAGACTAAGAAGAGTTCTCAGTAACTTTTTTGTGTTGTGTGTATTCAACTCACAGAGTTGAACCTTGCTTTAGAGAGAGCAGATTTGAAACACTCTTGCTGTGGCATTTTCAGGTGGAGATTTCAAGCGATTTGAGGACAATTGCAGAAAAGGAAATATCTTCGTATAATAACCAGACAGAATCATTCTCAGAAAGTGCTTTGTGATGTGTGCGTTCAACTCACAGAGTTTAACCTTTCTTTTCATAGAGGAGTTTGGAAACACACTGTTTGTAAAGTCTGCAATTGGATATATGGACCTGTTTGAGGCCTTCGTTGGAAACGGGATTTCTTCATTGAATGCTAGACGGAAGAATTCTCAGTAAATTCTTTATGTTGTGTGCATTCAACTGACAGAGTGGAACGTCCCTTTAGACAGAGCAGATTTGAAACACTCTTTTTGCGGAATTTGCAAGTGGAGATTTCTAGCCATTTGATGCCAACAGTAGAAAGGGAAATATCTTCAAATAAAAACCAGACAGAATCATTCTCAGAAAATTCTTTGTGATGTGTGCGTTCAACTCACATAGTTTAACCTTTCTTTTCATAGAGCAGTTTGGAAACACTCTGTTTGAAAAGTCTGCAAGTGGATATATGGACCGCATTGAGGCCTTCGTTGGAAACGGGATTTCTTCATTTCATGCTAGACAGAAGAATTCTCAGTAACTTCTTTGTGCTGTGTGTACTCAACTCACAGAGTGGAACGTCCCTTTGCACAGAGCAGATTTGAAACACTCTTTTTGTGGAGTTTGCAAGTGGAGATTTCAAGCGATTTGATGCCAACAGTAGAAAAGGAAATATCTTCAAATAAAAACTAGACAGAATCATCCTCAGAAACTACTTTGTGATGTCTGCCTTCAACTCACAGAGTTTAACCTTTCTTTTCTTAGAGCAGTTTAGAAACACTCTGCTTGTTATGTCTGCAAGTGGATATTTGGACCTCTTTGAGGCCTTCGTTGCAAACGGGGTTTCTTCCTTTCATGCTAGACTAAGAAGAGTTCTCAGTAACTTTTTTGTGTTGTGTGTATTCAACTCACAGAGTTGAACCTTGCTTTAGAGAGAGCAGATTTGAAACACTCTTGCTGTGGCATTTTCAGGTGGAGATTTCAAGCGATTTGAGGACAATTGCAGAAAAGGAAATATCTTCGTATAATAACCAGACAGAATCATTCTCAGAAAGTGCTTTGTGATGTGTGCGTTCAACTCACAGAGTTTAACCTTTCTTTTCATAGAGGAGTTTGGAAACACACTGTTTGTAAAGTCTGCAATTGGATATATGGACCTGTTTGAGGCCTTCGTTGGAAACGGGATTTCTTCATTGAATGCTAGACGGAAGAATTCTCAGTAAATTCTTTGTGTTGTGTGCATTCAACTCACAGAGTGGAACGTCCCTTTAGACAGAGCAGATTTGAAACACTCTTTTTGCGGAATTTGCAAGTGGAGATTTCTAGCCATTTGATGCCAACAGTAGAAAGGGAAATATCTTCAAATAAAAACCAGACAGAATCATTCTCAGAAAATTCTTTGTGATGTGTGCATTCAACTCACATAGTTTAACCTTTCTTTTCATAGAGCAGTTTGGAAACACTCTGTTTGTAAAGTCTGCAAGTGGATATATGGACCGCATTGAGGCCTTCGTTGGAAACGGGATTTCTTCATTTCATGCTAGACAGAAGAATTCTCAGTAACTTCTTTGTGCTGTGTGTATTCAACTCACAGAGTGGAACGTCCCTTTGCACAGAGCAGATTTGAAACACTCTTTTTGTGGAGTTTGCAAGTGGAGATTTCAAGCGATTTGATGCCAACAGTAGAAAAGGAAATATCTTCAAATAAAAACTAGACAGAATCATTCTCAGAAACTACTTTGTGATGTGTGCCTTCAACTCACAGAGTTTAACCTTTCTTTTCTTAGAGCAGTTTAGAAACACTCTGCTTGTTATGTCTGCAAGTGGATATTTGGACCTCTTTGAGGCCTTCGTTGCAAACGGGGTTTCTTCCTTTCATGCTAGACTAAGAAGAGTTCTCAGTAACTTTTTTGTGTTGTGTGTATTCAACTCACAGAGTTGAACCTTGCTTTAGAGAGAGCAGATTTGAAACACTCTCGCTGTGGAATTTTCAGGTGGAGATTTCAAGCGATTTGAGGACAATTGCAGAAAAGGAAATATCTTCGTATAATAACCAGACAGAATCATTCTCAGAAAGTGCTTTGTGATGTGTGCGTTCAACTCACAGAGTTTAACCTTTCTTTTCATAGAGGAGTTTGGAAACACACTGTTTGTAATGTCTGCAATTGGATATATGGACCTGTTTGAGGCCTTCGTTGGAAACGGGATTTCTTCATTGAATGCTAGACGGAAGAATTCTCAGTAAATTCTTTGTGTTGTGTGCATTCAACTCACAGAGTGGAACGTCCCTTTAGACAGAGCAGATTTGAAACACTTTTTGGCGGAATTTGCAAGTGGAGATTTTTAGCCATTTGATGCCAACAGTAGAAAGGGAAATATCTTCAAATAAAAACCAGACAGAATCATTCTCAGAAAATTCTTTGTGATGTGTGCGTTCAACTCACATAGTTTAACCTTTCTTTTCATAGAGCAGTTTGGAAACACTCTGTTTGTAAAGTCTGCAAGTGGATATATGGACCGCATTGAGGCCTTCGTTGGAAACGGGATTTCTTCATTTCATGCTAGACAGAAGAATTCTCAGTAACTTCTTTGTGCTGTGTGTATTCAACTCACAGAGTGGAACGTCCCTTTACACAGAGCAGATTTGAAACACTCTTTTTGTGGAGTTTGCAAGTGGAGATTTCAAGCGATTTGATGCCAACAGTAGAAAAGGAAATATCTTCAAATAAAAACTAGACAGAATCATTCTCAGAAACTACTTTGTGATGTGTGCCTTCAACTCACAGAGTTTAACCTTTCTTTTCTTAGAGCAGTTTAGAAACACTCTGCTTGTTATGTCTGCAAGTGGATATTTGGACCTCTTTGAGGCCTTCGTTGCAAACGGGGTTTCTTCCTTTCATGCTAGACTAAGAAGAGTTCTCAGTAACTTTTTTGTGTTGTGTGTATTCAACTCACAGAGTTGAACCTTGCTTTAGAGAGAGCAGATTTGAAACACTCTTGCTGTGGCATTTTCAGGTGGAGATTTCAAGCGATTTGAGGACAATTGCAGAAAAGGAAATATCTTCGTATAACAACCAGACAGAATCATTCTCAGAAAGTGCTTTGTGATGTGTGCGTTGAACTCACAGAGTTTAACCTTTCTTTTCATAGAGGAGTTTGGAAACACACTGTTTGTAAAGTCTGCAAGTGGATATATGGACCTGTTTGAGGCCTTCGTTGGAAACGGGATTTCTTCATTGAATGCTAGACGGAAGAATTCTCAGTAAATTCTTTGTGTTGTGTGCATTCAACTCACAGAGTGGAACGTCTCTTTAGACAGAGCAGATTTGAAACACTCTTTTTGCGGAATTTGCAAGTGGAGATTTCTAGCCATTTGATGCCAACAGTAGAAAGGGAAATATCTTCAAATAAAAACCAGACAGAATCATTCTCAGAAAATTCTTTGTGATGTGTGCGTTCAACTCACATAGTTTAACCTTTCTTTTCATAGAGCAGTTTGGAAACACTCTGTTTGTAAAGTCTGCAAGTGGATATATGGACCGCATTGAGGCCTTCGTTGGAAACGGGATTTCTTCATTTCATGCTAGACAGAAGAATTCTCAGTAACTTCTTTGTGCTGTGTGTATTCAACTCACAGAGTGGAACGTCCCTTTGCACAGAGCAGATTTGAAACACTCTTTTTGTGGAGTTTGCAAGTGGAGATTTCAAGCGATTTGATGCCAACAGTAGAAAAGGAAATATCTTCAAATAAAAACTAGACAGAATCATTCTCAGAAACTACTTTGTGATGTGTGCCTTCAACTCACAGAGTTTAACCTTTCTTTTCTTAGAGCAGTTTAGAAACACTCTGCTTGTTATGTCTGCAAGTGGATATTTGGACCTCTTTGAGGCCTTCGTTGCAAACGGGGTTTCTTCCTTTAATGCTAGACTAAGAAGAGTTCTCAGCAACTTTTTTGTGTTGTGTGTATTCAACTCAAAGAGTTGAACCTTGCTTTAGAGAGAGCAGATTTGAAACACTCTTGCTGTGGAATTTTCAGGTGGAGATTTCAAGCGATTTGAGGACAATTGCAGAAAAAGAAATATCTTCGTATAATAACCAGACAGAATCATTCTCAGAAAGTGCTTTGTGATGTGTGCGTTCAACTCACAGTAGTTTAACCTTTCTTTTCATAGAGGAGCTTGGAAACACACTGTTTGTAAAGTCTGCAATTGGATATATGGACCTGTTTGAGGCCTCCGTTGGAAACGGGATTTCTTCATTGAATGCTAGACGGAAGAATTCTCAGTAAATTCTTTGTGTTGTGTGCATTGAACTCACAGAGTGGAACGTCCCTTTACACAGAGCAGATTTGAAACACTCTTTTTGCGGAATTTGCAAGTGGAGATTTTTAGCCATTTGATGCCAACAGTAGAAAGGGAAATATCTTCAAATAAAAACCAGACAGAATCATTCTCAGAAAATTCTTTGTGATGTGTGCGTTCAACTCACATAGTTTAACCTTTCTTTTCATAGAGCAGTTTGGAAACACTCTGTTTGTAAAGTCTGCAAGTGGATATATGGACCGCATTGAGGCCTTCGTTGGAAACGGGATTTCTTCATTTCATGCTAGACAGAAGAATTCTCAGTAACTTCTTTGTGCTGTGTGTATTCAACTCACAGAGTGGAACGTCCCTTTACACAGAGCAGATTTGAAACACTCTTTTTGTGGAGTTTGCAAGTGGAGATTTCAAGCGATTTGATGCCAACAGTAGAAAAGGAAATATCTTCAAATAAAAACTAGACAGAATCATTCTCAGAAACTACTTTGTGATGTGTGCCTTCAACTCACAGAGTTTAACCTTTCTTTTCTTAGAGCAGTTTAGAAACACTCTGCTTGTTATGTCTGCAAGTGGATATTTGGACCTCTTTGAGGCCTTCGTTGCAAACGGGGTTTCTTCCTTTCATGCTAGACTAAGAAGAGTTCTCAGTAACTTTTTTGTGTTGTGTGTATTCAACTCACAGAGTTGAACCTTGCTTTAGAGAGAGCAGATTTGAAACACTCTTGCTGTGGCATTTTCAGGTGGAGATTTCAAGCGATTTGAGGACAATTGCAGAAAAGGAAATATCTTCGTATAATAACCAGACAGAATCATTCTCAGAAAGTGCTTTGTGATGTGTGCGTTCAACTCACAGAGTTTAACCTTTCTTTTCATAGAGGAGTTTGGAAACACACTGTTTGTAAAGTCTGCAAGTGGATATATGGACCTCTTTGAGGCCTTCGTTGGAAACGGGATTTCTTCATTGAATGCTAGACCGAAGAATTCTCAGTAAATTCTTTGTGTTGTGTGCATTCAACTCACAGAGTGGAACGTCCCTTTAGACAGAGCAGATTTGAAACACTCTTTTTGCGGAATTTGCAAGTGGAGATTTCTAGCCATTTGATGCCAACAGTAGAAAGGGAAATATCTTCAAATAAAAACCAGACAGAATCATTCTCAGAAAATTCTTTGTGATGTGTGCGTTCAACTCACATAGTTTAACCTTTCTTTTCATAGAGCAGTTTGGAAACACTCTGTTTGTAAAGTCTGCAAGTGGATATATGGACCGCATTGAGGCCTTCGTTGGAAACGGGATTTCTTCATTTCATGCTAGACAGAAGAATTCTCAGTAACTTCTTTGTGCTGTGTGTATTCAACTCACAGAGTGGAACGTCCCTTTACACAGAGCAGATTTGAAACACTCTTTTTGTGGAGTTTGCAAGTGGAGATTTCAAGCGATTTGATGCCAGCAGTAGAAAAGGAAATATCTTCAAATAAAAACTAGACAGAATCATTCTCAGAAACTACTTTGTGATGTGTGCCTTCAACTCACAGAGTTTAACCTTTCTTTTCTTAGAGCAGTTTAGAAACACTCTGCTTGTTATGTCTGCAAGTGGATATTTGGACCTCTTTGAGGCCTTCGTTGCAAACGGGGTTTCTTCCTTTCATGCTAGACTAAGAAAGAGTTCTCAGTATCTTTTTTGTGTTGTGTGTATTCAACTCACAGAGTTGAACCTTGCTTTAGAGAGAGCAGATTTGAAACACTCTTGCTGTGGCATTTTCAGGTGGAGATTTCAAGCGATTTGAGGACAATTGCAGAAAAGGAAATATCTTCGTATAACAACCAGACAGAATCATTCTCAGAAAGTGCTTTGTGATGTGTGCGTTCCACTCACAGAGTTTAACCTTTCTTTTCATAGAGGAGTTTGGAAACACACTGTTTGTAAAGTCTGCAAGTGGATATATGGACCTGTTTGAGGCCTTCGTTGGAAACGGGATTTCTTCATTGAATGCTAGGCGGAAGAATTCTCAGTAAATTCTTTGTGTTGTGTGCATTCAACTCACAGAGTGGAACGTCCCTTTAGACAGAGCAGATTTGAAACACTCTTTTTGCGGAATTTGCAAGTGGAGATTTCTAGCCATTTGATGCCAACAGTAGAAAGGGAAATATCTTCAAATAAAAACCAGACAGAATCATTCTCAGAAAATTCTTTGTGATGTGTGCGTTCAACTCACATAGTTTAACCTTTCTTTTCATAGAGCAGTTTGGAAACACTCTGTTTGTGATGTCTGCAAGTGGATATATTGACCGCATTGAGGCCTTCGTTGGAAACGGGATTTCTTCATTTCATGCTAGACAGAAGAATTCTCAGTAGCTTCTTTGTGCTGTGTGTATTCAACTCACAGAGTGGAACGTCCCTTTACACAGAGCAGATTTGAAACACTCTTTTTGTTGAATTTGCAAGTGGAGATTTCAAGCGATTTGATGCCAACAGTAGAAAAGGAAATATCTTCAAATAAAAACTAGACAGAATCATTCTCAGAAACTACTTTGTGATGTGTGCCTTCAACTCACAGAGTTTAACCTTTCTTTTCTTAGAGCAGTTTAGAAACACTCTGCTTGTTATGTCTGCAAGTGGATATTTGGACCTCTTTGAGGCCTTCGTTGCAAACGGGGTTTCTTCCTTTCATGCTAGACTAAGAAGAGTTCTCAGTAACTTTTTTGTGTTGTGTGTATTCAACTCACAGAGTTGAACCTTGCTTTAGAGAGAGCAGATTTGAAACACTCTTGCTGTGGCATTTTCAGGTGGAGATTTCAAGCGATTTGAGGACAATTGCAGAAAAGGAAATATCTTCGTATAATAACCAGACAGAATCATTCTCAGAAAGTGCTTTGTGATGTGTGCGTTCAACTCACAGAGTTTAACCTTTCTTTTCATAGAGGAGTTTGGAAACACACTGTTTGTAAAGTCTGCAATTGGATATATGGACCTGTTTGAGGCCTTCTTTGGAAACGGGATTTCTTCATTGAATGCTAGACGGAAGAATTCTCAGTAAATTCTTTGTGTTGTGTGCATTCAACTCACAGAGTGGAATGTCCCTTTAGACAGAGCAGATTTGAAACACTCTTTTTGCGGAATTTGCAAGTGGAGATTTCTAGCCATTTGATGCCAACAGTAGAAAGGGAAATATCTTCAAATAAAAACCAGACAGAATCATTCTCAGAAAATTCTTTGTGATGTGTGCGTTCAACTCACATAGTTTAACCTTTCTTTTCATAGAGCAGTTTGGAAACACTCTGTTTGTAAAGTCTGCAAGTGGATATATGGACCGCATTGAGGCCTTCGTTGGAAACGGGATTTCTTCATTTCATGCTAGACAGAAGAATTCTCAGTAACTTCTTTGTGCTGTGTGTATTCAACTCACAGAGTGGAACGTCCCTTTGCACAGAGCAGATTTGAAACACTCTTTTTGTGGAATTTGCAAGTGGAGATTTCAAGCGATTTGATGCCAACAGTAGAAAAGGAAATATCTTCAAATAAAAACTAGACAGAATCATTCTCAGAAACTACTTTGTGATGTGTGCCTTCAACTCACAGAGTTTAACCTTTCTTTTCTTAGAGCAGTTTAGAAACACTCTGCTTGTTATGTCTGCAAGTGGATATTTGGACCTCTTTGAGGCCTTCGTTGCAAACGGCGTTTCTTCCTTTACTGCTAGACTAAGAAGAGTTCTCAGTAACTTTTTTGTGTTGTGTGTATTCAACTCACAGAGTTGAACCTTGCTTTAGAGAGAGCAGATTTGAAACACTCTTGCTGTGGCATTTTCAGGTGGAGATTTCAAGCGATTTGAGGACAATTGCAGAAAAGGAAATATCTTCGTATAATAACCAGACAGAATCATTCTCAGAAAGTGCTTTGTGATGTGTGCGTTCAACTCACAGAGTTCAACCTTTCTTTCCATAGAGGAGTTTGGAAACACACTGTTTGTAAAGTCTGCAATTGGATATATGGACCTGTTTGAGGCCTTCGTTGGAAACGGGATTTCTTCATTGAATGCTAGACGGAAGAATTCTCAGTAAATTCTTTGTGTTGTGTGCATTCAACTCACAGAGTGGAACGTCCCTTTAGACAGAGCAGATTTGAAACACTCTTTTTGCGGAATTTGCAAGTGGAGATTTCTAGCCATTTGATGCCAACAGTAGAAAGGGAAACATCTTCAAATAAAAACCAGACAGAATCATTCTCAGAAAATTCTTTGTGATGTGTGCGTTCAACTCACATAGTTTAACCTTTCTTTTCATAGAGCAGTTTGGAAACACTCTGTTTGTAAAGTCTGCAAGTGGATATATGGACCGCATTGAGGCCTTCGTTGGAAACGGGATTTCTTCATTTCATGCTAGACAGAAGAATTCTCAGTAACTTCTTTGTGCTGTGTGTATTCAACTCACAGAGTGGAACGTCCCTTTGCACAGAGCAGATTTGAAACACTCTTTTTGTGGAGTTTGCAATTGGAGATTTCAAGCGATTTGATGCCAACAGTAGAAAAGGAAATATCTTCAAATAAAAACTAGACAGGAATCATTCTCAGAAACTACTTTGTGATGTGTGCCTTCAACTCACAGAGTTTAACCTTTCTTTTCTTAGAGCAGTTTAGAAACACTCTGCTTGTTATGTCTGCAAGTGGATATTTGGACCTCTTTGAGGCCTTCGTTGCAAACGGGGTTTCTTCCTTTAATGCTAGACTAAGAAGAGTTCTCAGTAACTTTTTTGTGTTGTGTGTATTCAACTCACAGAGTTGAACCTTGCTTTAGAGAGAGCAGATTTGAAACACTCTTGCTGTGGCATTTTCAGGTGGAGATTTCAAGCGATTTGAGGACAATTGCAGAAAAGGAAATATCTTCGTATAATAACCAGACAGAATCATTCTCAGAAAGTGCTTTGTGATGTGTGCGTTCAACTCACAGAGTTTAACCTTTCTTTTCATAGAGGAGTTTGGAAACACACTGTTTGTAAAGTCTGCAATTGGATATATGGACCTGTTTGAGGCCTTCGTTGGAAACGGGATTTCTTCATTGAATGCTAGACGGAAGAATTCTCAGTAAATTCTTTGTGTTGTGTGCATTCAACTCACAGAGTGGAACGTCCCTTTAGACAGAGCAGATTTGAAACACTCTTTTTGCGGAATTTGCAAGTGGAGATTTCTAGCCATTTGATGCCAACAGTAGAAAGGGAAATATCTTCAAATAAAAACCAGACAGAATCATTCTCAGAAAATTCTTTGTGATGTGTGCTTTCAACTCACATAGTTTAACCTTTCTTTTCATAGAGCAGTTTGGAAACACTCTGTTTGTAAAGTCTGCAAGTGGATATATGGACCGCATTGAGGCCTTCGTTGGAAACGGGATTTCTTCCTTTCATGCTAGACAGAAGAATTCTCAGTAACTTCTTTGTGCTGTGTGTATTCAACTCACAGAGTGGAACGTCCCTTTACACAGAGCAGATTTGAAACACTCTTTTTGTGGAGTTTGCAAGTGGAGATTTCAAGCGATTTGATGCCAACAGTAGAAAATGAAATATCTTCAAATAAAAACTAGACAGAATCATTCTCAGAAACTACTTTGTGATGTGTGCCTTCAACTCACAGAGTTTAACCTTTCTTTTCTTAGAGCAGTTTAGAAACACTCTGCTTGTTATGTCTGCAAGTGGATATTTGGACCTCTTTGAGGCCTTCGTTGCAAACGGGGTTTCTTCCTTTAATGCTAGACTAAGAAGAGTTCTCAGTAACTTTTTTGTGTTGTGTGTATTCAACTCACAGAGTTGAACCTTGCTTTAGAGAGAGCAGATTTGAAACACTCTCGCTGTGGAATTTTCAGGTGGAGATTTCAAGCGATTTGAGGACAATTGCAGAAAAGGAAATATCTTCGTATAATAACCAGACAGAATCATTCTCAGAAAGTGCTTTGTGATGTGTGCGTTCAACTCACAGAGTTTAACCTTTCTTTTCATAGAGGAGTTTGGAAACACACTGTTTGTAAAGTCTGCAATTGGATATATGGACCTGTTTGAGGCCTTCGTAGGAAACGGGATTTCTTCATTGAATGCTAGACGGAAGAATTCTCAGTAAATTCTTTGTGTTGTGTGCATTCAACTCACAGAGTGGAACGTCCCTTTAGACAGAGCAGATTTGAAACACTCCTTTTGCGGAATTTGCAAGTGGAGATTTCTAGCCATTTGATGCCAACAGTAGAAAGGGAAATATCTTCAAATAAAAACCAGACAGAATCATTCTCAGAAAATTCTTTGTGATGTGTGCGTTCAACTCACATAGTTTAACCTTTCTTTTCATAGAGCAGTTTGGAAACACTCTGTTTGTAAAGTCTGCAAGTGGATATATGGACCGCATTGAGGCCTTCGTTGGAAACGGGATTTCTTCATTTCATACTAGACAGAAGAATTCTCAGTAACTTCTTTGTGCTGTGTGTATTCAACTCACAGAGTGGAACGTCCCTTTGCACAGAGCAGATTTGAAACACTCTTTTTGTGGAGTTTGCAAGTGGAGATTTCAAGCGATTTGATGCCAACAGTAGAAAAGGAAATATCTTCAAATAAAAACTAGACAGAATCATTCTCAGAAACTACTTTGTGATGTCTGCCTTCAACTCACAGAGTTTAACCTTTCTTTTCTTAGAGCAGTTTAGAAACACTCTGCTTGTTATGTCTGCAAGTGGATATTTGGACCTTCTTTGAGGCCTTCGTTGCAAACGGGGTTTCTTCCTTTCATGCTAGACTAAGAAGAGTTCTCAGTAACTTTTTTGTGTTGTGTGTATTCAACTCACAGAGTTGAACCTTGCTTTAGAGAGAGCAGATTTGAAACACTCTGGCTGTGGCATTTTCAGGTGGAGATTTCAAGCGATTTGAGGACAATTGCAGAAACGGAAATATCTTCGTATAATAACCAGACAGAATCATTCTCAGAAAGTGCTTTGTGATGTGTGCGTTCCACTCACAGAGTTTAACCTTTCTTTTCATAGAGGAGTTTGGAAACACACTGTTTGTAAAGTCTGCAAGTGGATATATGGACCTCTTTGAGGCCTTCGTTGGAAACTGGATTTCTTCATTGAATGCTAGACGGAAGAATTCTCAGTAAATTCTTTGTGTTGTGTGCATTCAACTCACAGAGTGGAACGTCCCTTTAGACAGAGCAGATTTGAAACACTCTTTTGCGGAATTTGCAAGTGGAGATTTCTAGCCATTTGATGCCAACAGTAGAAAGGGAAATATCTTCAAATAAAAACCAGACAGAATCATTCTCAGAAAATTCTTTGTGATGTGTGCGTTCAACTCACATAGTTTAACCTTTCTTTTCATAGAGCAGTTTGGAAACACTCTGTTTGTAAAGTCTGCAAGTGGATCTATGGACCGCATTGAGGCCTTCGTTGGAAACGGGATTTCTTCATTTCATGCTAGACAGAAGAATTCTCAGTAACTTCTTTGTGCTGTGTGTATTCAACTCACAGAGTGGAACGTCCCTTTGCACAGAGCAGATTTGAAACACTCTTTGTGGAATTTGCAAGTGGAGATTTCAAGCGATTTGATGCCAACAGTAGAAAAGGAAATATCTTCAAATAAAAACTAGACAGAATCATTTAGAAACTACTTTGTGATGTGTGCCTTCAACTCACAGAGTTTAACCTTTCTTTTCTTAGAGCAGTTTAGAAACACTCTGCTTGTTATGTCTGCAAGTGGATATTTGGACCTCTTTGAGGCCTTCGTTGCAAACGGGGTTTCTTCCTTTAATGCTAGACTAAGAAGAGTTCTCAGTAACTTTTTTGTGTTGTGTGTATTCAACTCACAGAGTTGAACCTTGCTTTAGAGAGAGCAGATTTGAAACACTCTTGCTGTGGCATTTTCAGGTGGAGATTTCAAGCGATTTGAGGACAATTACAGAAAAGGAAATATCTTCGTATAACAACCAGACAGAATCATTCTCAGAAAGTGCTTTGTGATGTGTGCGTTCCACTCACAGAGTTTAACCTTTCTTTTCATAGAGGAGTTTGGAAACACACTGTTTGTAAAGTCTGCAAGTGGATATATGGACCTGTTTGAGGCCTTCGTTGGAAACGGGATTTCTTCATTGAATGCTAGACGGAAGAATTCTCAGTAAATTCTTTGTGTTGTGTGCATTCAACTCACAGAGTGGAACGTCCCTTTTAGACAGAGCAGATTTGAAACACTCTTTTTGTGGAATTTGCAAGTGGAGATTTCTAGCCATTTGATGCCAACAGTAGAAAGGGAAATATCTTCAAATAAAAACCAGACAGAATCATTCTCAGAAAATTCTTTGTGATGTGTGCGTTCAACTCACATAGTTTAACCTTTCTTTTCATAGAGCAGTTTGGAAACACTCTGTTTGTAAAGTCTGCAAGTGGATCTATGGACCGCATTGAGGCCTTCGTTGGAAACGGGATTTCTTCATTTCATGCTAGACAGAAGAATTCTCAGTAACTTCTTTGTGCTGTGTGTATTCAACTCACAGAGTGGAACGTCCCTTTACACAGAGCAGATTTGAAACACTCGTTTTGTGGAGTTTGCAAGTGGAGATTTCAAGCGATTTGATGCCAACAGTAGAAAAGGAAGTATCTTCAAATAAAAACTAGACAGAATCATTCTCAGAAACTACTTTGTGATGTGTGCCTTCAACTAACAGAGTTTAACCTTTCTTTTCTTAGAGCAGCTTAGAAACACTCTGCTTGTTATGTCTGCAAGTTGATATTTGGACCTCTTTGAGGCCTTCGTTGCAAACGGGGTTTCTTCCTTTAATGCTAGACTAAGAAGAGTTCTCAGTAACTTTTTTGTGTTGTGTGTATTCAACTCACAGAGTTGAACCTTGCTTTAGAGAGAGCAGATTTGAAACACTCTTGCTGTGGCATTTTCAGGTGGAGATTTCAAACGATTTGAGGACAATTGCAGAAAAGGAAATATCTTCGTATAATAACCAGACAGAATCATTCTCAGAAAGTGCTTTGTGATGTGTGCGTTCAACTCACAGAGTTTAACCTTTCTTTTCATAGAGGAGTTTGGAAACACACTGTTTGTAAAGTCTGCAAGTGGATATATGGACCTGTTTGAGGCCTTCGTTGGAAACGGGATTTCTTCATTGAATGCTAGACGGAAGAATTCTCAGTAAATTCTTTGTGTTGTGTGCATTCAACTCACAGAGTGGAACGTCCCTTTAGACAGAGCAGATTTGAAACACTCTTTTTGCGGAATTTGCAAGTGGAGATTTCTAGCCATTTGATGCCAACAGTAGAAAGGGAAATATCTTCAAATAAAAACCAGACAGAATCATTCTCAGAAAATTCTTTGTGATGTGTGCGTTCAACTCACATAGTTTAACCTTTCTTTTCATAGAGCAGTTTGGAAACACTCTGTTTGTAAAGTCTGCAAGTGGATATATGGACCGCATTGAGGCCTTCGTTGGAAACGGGATTTCTTCATTTCATGCTAGACAGAAGAATTCTCAGTAACTTCTCTGTGCTGTGTGTATTCAACTCACAGACTGGAACGTCCGTTTGCACAGAGCAGATTTGAAACACTCTTTTTGTGGAATTTGCAAGTGGAGATTTCAAGCGATTTGATGCCAACAGTAGAAAAGGAAATATCTTCAAATAAAAACTAGACAGAACCATTCTCAGAAACTACTTTGTGATGTGTGCCTTCAACTCACAGAGTTTAACCTTTCTTTTCTTAGAGCAGTTTAGAAACACTCTGCTTGTTATGTCTGCAAGTGGATATTTGGACCTCTTTGAGGCCTTCGTTGCAAACGGGGTTTTTTCCTTTCATGCTAGACTAAGAAGAGTTCTCAGTAACTTTTTTGTGTTGTGTGTATTCAACTCACAGAGTTGAACCTTGCTTTAGAGAGAACAGATTTGAAACACTCTTGCTGTGGCATTTTCAGGTGGAGATTTCAAGCGATTTGAGGACAATTGCAGAAAAGGAAATATCTTCGTATAATAACCAGACAGAATCATTCTCAGAAAGTGCTTTGTGATGTGTGCGTTCCACTCACAGAGTTTAACCTTTCTTTTCATAGAGGAGTTTGGAAACACACTGTTTGTAAACTCTGCAAGTGGATATATGGACCTGTTTGAGGCCTTCGTTGGAAACGGGATTTCTTCATTGAATGCTAGACGGAAGAATTCTCAGTAAATTCTTTGTGTTGTGTGCATTCAACTGACAGAGTGGAACGTCCCTTTAGACAGAGCAGATTTGAAACACTCTTTTTGCGGAATTTGCAAGTGGAGATTTCTAGCCATTTGATGCCAACAGTAGAAAGGGAAATATCTTCAAATAAAAACCAGACAGAATCATTCTCAGAAAATTCTTTGTGATGTGTGCGTTCAACTCACATAGTTTAACCTTTCTTTTCATAGAGCAGTTTGGAAACACTCTGTTTGTAAAGTCTGCAAGTGGATATATGGACCGCATTGAGGCCTTCGTTGGAAACGGGATTTCTTCATTTCATGCTAGACAGAAGAATTCTCAGTAACTTCTTTGTGCTGTGTGTATTCAACTCACAGAGTGGAACGTCCCTTTACACAGAGCAGATTTGAAACACTCTTTTTGTGGAGTTTGCAAGTGGAGATTTCAAGCGATTTGATGCCAACAGTAGAAAAGGAAATATCTTCAAATAAAAACTAGACAGAATCATTCTCAGAAACTACTTTGTGATGTGTGCCTTCAACTCACAGAGTTTAACCTTTCTTTTCTTAGAGCAGTTTAGAAACACTCTGCTTGTTATGTCTGCAAGTGGATATTTGGACCTCTTTGAGGCCTTCGTTGCAAACGGGGTTTCTTCCTTTAATGCTAGACTAAGAAGAGTTCTCAGTAACTTTTTTGTGTTGTGTGTATTCAACTCACAGAGTTGAACCTTGCTTTAGAGAGAGCAGATTTGAAACACTCTTGCTGTGGCATTTTCAGGTGGAGATTTCAAGCGATTTGAGGACAATTACAGAAAAGGAAATATCTTCGTATAACAACCAGACAGAATCATTCTCAGAAAGTGCTTTGTGATGTGTGCGTTCCACTCACAGAGTTTAACCTTTCTTTTCATAGAGGAGTTTGGAAACACACTGTTTGTAAACTCTGCAAGTGGATATATGGACCTGTTTGAGGCCTTCGTTGGAAACGGGATTTCTTCATTGAATGCTAGACGGAAGAATTCTCAGTAAATTCTTTGTGTTGTGTGCATTCAACTCACAGAGTGGAACGTCCCTTTAGACAGAGCAGATTTGAAACACTCTTTTTGCGGAATTTGCAAGTGGAGATTTCTAGCCATTTGATGCCAACAGTAGAAAGGGAAATATCTTCAAATAAAAACCAGACAGAATCATTCTCAGAAAATTCTTTGTGATGTGTGCGTTCAACTCACATAGTTTAACCTTTCTTTTCATAGAGCAGTTTGGAAACACTCTGTTTGTAAAGTCTGCAAGTGGATATATGGACCGCATTGAGGCCTTCGTTGGAAACGGGATTTCTTCATTTCATGCTAGACAGAAGAATTCTCAGTAACTTCTTTGTGCTGTGTGTGTTCAACTCACAGAGTGGAACGTCCCTTTGCACAGAGCAGATTTGAAACACTCTTTTTGTGGAGTTTGCAAGTGGAGATTTCAAGCGATTTGATGCCAACAGTAGAAAAGGAAATATCTTCAAATAAAAACTAGACAGAATCATTCTCAGAAACTACTTTGTGATGTGTGCCTTCAACTCACAGAGTTTAACCTTTCTTTTCTTAGAGCAGTTTAGAAACACTCTGCTTGTTATGTCTGCAAGTGGATATTTGGACCTCTTTGAGGCCTTCGTTGCAAACGGGGTTTCTTCCTTTCATGCTAGACTAAGAAGAGTTCTCAGTAACTTTTTTGTGTTGTGTGTATTCAACTCACAGAGTTGAACCTTGCTTTAGAGAGAGCAGATTAGAAACACTCTTGCTGTGGCATTTTCAGGTGGAGATTTCAAGCGATTTGAGGACAATTGCAGAAAAGGAAATATCTTCGGTATAACAACCAGACAGAATCATTCTCAGAAAGTGCTTTGTGATGTGTGCGTTCAACTCACAGAGTTTAACCTTTCTTTTCATAGAGGAGTTTGGAAACACACTGTTTGTAAAGTCTGCAATTGGATATATGGACCTGTTTGAGGCCTTCGTTGGAAACGGGATTTCTTCATTGACTGCTAGACGGAAGAATTCTCAGTAAATTCTTTATGTTGTGTGCATTCAACTCACAGAGTGGAACGTCCCTTTAGACAGAGCAGATTTGAAACACTCTTTTTGCGGAATTTGCAAGTGGAGATTTCTAGCCATTTGATGCCAACAGTAGAAAGGGAAATATCTTCAAATAAAAACCAGACAGAATCATTCTCAGAAAATTCTTTGTGATGTGTGCATTCAACTCACATAGTTTAACCTTTCTTTTCATAGAGCAGTTTGGAAACACTCTGTTTGTAAAGTCTGCAAGTGGATATATGGACCGCATTGAGGCCTTCGTTGGAAACGGGATTTCTTCATTTCATGCTAGACAGAAGAATTCTCAGTAACTTCTTTGTGCTGTGTGTATTCAACTCACAGAGTGGAACGTCCCTTTACACAGAGCAGATTTGAAACACTCTTTTTGTGGAGTTTGCAAGTGGAGATTTCAAGCGATTTGATGCCAACAGTAGAAAAGGAAATATCTTCAAATAAAAACTAGACAGAATCATTCTCAGAAACTACTTTGTGATGTGTGCCTTCAACTCACAGAGTTTAACCTTTCTTTTCATAGAGCAGTTTTGAAACACTCTGCTTGTTATGTCTGCAAGTGGATATTTGGACCTCTTTGAGGCCTTCGTTGCAAACGGGGTTTCTTCCTTTCATGCTACACTAAGAAGAGTTCTCAGTAACTTTTTTGTGTTGTGTGTATTCAACTCACAGAGTTGAACCTTGCTTTAGAGAGAGCAGATTTGAAACACTCTTGCTGTGGCATTTTCAGGTGGAGATTTCAAACGATTTGAGGACAATTGCAGAAAAGGAAATATCTTCGTATAATAACCAGACAGAATCATTCTCAGAAAGTGCTTTGTGATGTGTGCGTTCAACTCACAGAGTTTAACCTTTCTTTTCATAGAGGAGTTTGGAAACACACAGTTTGTAAAGTCTGCAATTGGATATATGGACCTGTTTGAGGCCTTCGTTGGAAACGGGATTTCTTCATTGAATGCTAGACGGAAGAATTCTCAGTAAATTCTTTGTGTGGTGTGCATTCAACTCACAGAGTGGAACGTCCCTTTAGACAGAGCAGATTTGAAACACTCTTTTTGCGGAATTTGCAAGTGGAGATTTCTAGCCATTTGATGCCAACAGTAGAAAGGGAAATATCTTCAAATAAAAACCAGACAGAATCATTCTCAGAAAATTCTTTGTGATGTGTGCGTTCAACTCACATAGTTTAACCTTTCTTTTCATAGAGCAGTTTGGAAACACTCTGTAAAGTCTGCAAGTGGATATATGGACCGCATTGAGGCCTTCGTTGGAAACGGGATTTCTTCATTTCATGCTAGACAGAAGAATTCTCAGTAACTTCTTTGTGCTGTGTGTATTCAACTCACAGAGTGGAACGTCCCTTTGCACAGAGCAGATTTGAAACACTCTTTTTGTGGAGTTTGCAAGTGGAGATTTCAAGCGATTTGATGCCAACAGTAGAAAAGGAAATATCTTCAAATAAAAACTAGACAGAATCATTCTCAGAAACTACTTTGTGATGTGTGCCTTCAACTCACAGAGTTTAACCTTTCTTTTCTTAGAGCAGTTTAGAAACACTCTGCTTGTTATGTCTGCAAGTGGATATTTGGACCTCTTTGAGGCCTTCGTTGCAAACGGGGTTTCTTCCTTTCATGCTAGACTAAGAAGAGTTCTCAGTAACTTTTTTGTGTTGTGTGTATTCAACTCACAGAGTTGAACCTTGCTTTAGAGAGAGCAGATTTGAAACACTCTTGCTGTGGCATTTTCAGGTGGAGATTTCAAGCGATTTGAGGACAATTGCAGAAAAGGAAATATCTTCGTATAATAACCAGACAGAATCATTCTCAGAAAGTGCTTTGTGATGTGTGCGTTCAACTCACAGAGTTTAACCTTTCTTTTCATAGAGGAGTTTGGAAACACACTGTTTGTAAAGTCTGCAATTGGATATATGGACCTGTTTGAGGCCTCCGTTGGAAACGGGATTTCTTCATTGAATGCTAGACGGAAGAATTCTCAGTAAATTCTTTGTGTTGTGTGCATTCAACTCACAGAGTGGAACGTCCCTTTAGACAGAGCAGATTTGAAACACTCTTTTTGCGGAATTTGCAAGTGGAGATTTCTAGCCATTTGATGCCAACAGTAGAAAGGGAAATATCTTCAAATAAAAACCAGACAGAATCATTCTCAGAAAATTCTTTGTGATGTGTGCGTTCAACTCACATAGTTTAACCTTTCTTTTCATAGAGCAGTTTGGAAACACTCTGTTTGTAAAGTCTGCAAGTGGATATATGGACCGCATTGAGGCCTTCGTTGGAAACGGGATTTCTTCATTTCATGCTAGACAGAAGAATTCTCAGTAACTTCTTTGTGCTGTGTGTATTCAACTCACAGAGTGGAACGTCCCTTTGCACAGAGCAGATTTGAAACACTCTTTTTGTGGAATTTACAAGTGGAGATTGCAAGCGATTTGATGCCAACAGTAGAAAAGGAAATATCTTCAAATAAAAACTAGACAGAATCATTCTCAGAAACTACTTTGTGATGTGTGCGTTCAACTCACAGAGTTTAACCTTTCTTTTCTTAGAGCAGTTTAGAAACACTCTGCTTGTTATGTCTGCAAGTGGATATTTGGACCTCTTTGAGGCCTTCGTTGCAAACGGGGTTTCTTCCTTTCATGCTAGACTAAGAAGAGTTCTCAGTAACTTTTTTGTGTTGTGTGTATTCAACTCACAGAGTTGAACCTTGCTTTAGAGAGAGCAGATTTGAAACACTCTTGCTGTGGCATTTTCAGGTGGAGATTTCAAGCGATTTGAGGACAATTGCAGAAAAGGAAATATCTTCGTATAATAACCAGACAGAATCATTCTCAGAAAGTGCTTTGTGATGTGTGCGTTCCACTCACAGAGTTTAACCTTTCTTTTCATAGAGGAGTTTGGAAACACACTGTTTGTAAACTCTGCAAGTGGATATATGGACCTGTTTGAGGCCTTCGTTGGAAACGGGATTTCTTCATTGAATGCTAGACGGAAGAATTCTCAGTAAATTCTTTGTGTTGTGTGCATTCAACTCACAGAGTGGAACGTCCCTTTAGACAGAGCAGATTTGAAACACTCTTTTTGCGGAATTTGCAAGTGGAGATTTCTAGCCATTTGATGCCAACAGTAGAAAGGGAAATATCTTCAAATAAAAACCAGACAGAATCATTCTCAGAAAATTCTTTGTGATGTGTGCGTTCAACTCACATAGTTTAACCTTTCTTTTCATAGAGCAGTTTGGAAACACTCTGTTTGTAAAGTCTGCAAGTGGATATATGGACCGCATTGAGGCCTTCGTTGGAAACGGGATTTCTTCATTTCATGCTAGACAGAAGAATTCTCAGTAACTTCTTTGTGCTGTGTGTATTCAACTCACAGAGTGGAACGTTCTTTTACACAGAACAGATTTGAAACACTCTTTTTGTGGAATTTGCAAGTGGAGATTTCAAGCGATTTGATGCCAACAGTAGAAAAGGAAATATCTTCAAATAAAAACTAGACAGAATCATTCTCAGAAACTACTTTGTGATGTGTGCCTTCAACTCACAGAGTTTAACCTTTCTTTTCTTAGAGCAGTTTAGAAACACTCTGCTTGTTATGTCTGCAAGTGGATATTTGGACCTCTTTGAGGCCTTCGTTGCAAACGGGGTTTCTTCCTTTCATGCTAGACTAAGAAGAGTTCTCAGTAACTTTTTTGTGTTGTGTGTATTCAACTCACAGAGTTGAACCTTGCTTTAGAGAGAGCAGATTTGAAACACTCTTGCTGTGGCATTTTCAGGTGGAGATTTCAAGCGATTTGAGGACAATTGCAGAAAAGGAAATATCTTCGTATAACAACCAGACAGAATCATTCTCAGAAAGTGCTTTGTGATGTGTGCGTTCAACTCACAGAGTTTAACCTTTCTTTTCATAGAGGAGTTTGGAAACACACTGTTTGTAAAGTCTGCAATTGGATATATGGACCTGTTTGAGGCCTTCGTTGGAAACGGGATTTCTTTCATTGAATGCTAGACGGAAGGATTCTCAGTAAATTCTTTGTGTTGTGTGCATTCAACTCACAGAATGGAACGTCCCTTTAGACAGAGCAGATTTGAAACACTCTTTTTGCGGAATTTGCAAGTGGAGATTTCTAGCCATTTGATGCCAACAGTAGAAAGGGAAATATCTTCAAATAAAAACCAGACAGAATCATTCTCAGAAAATTCTTTGTGATGTGTGCGTTCAACTCACATAGTTTAACCTTTCTTTTCATAGAGCAGTTTGGAAACACTCTGTTTGTGATGTCTGCAAGTGGATATATAGACCGCATTGAGGCCTTCGTTGGAAACGGGATTTCTTCATTTCATGCTAGACAGAAGAATTCTCAGTAACTTCTTTGTGCTGTGTGTATTCAACTCACAGAGTGGAACGTCCCTTTGCACAGAGCAGATTTGAAACACTCTTTTTGTGGAGTTTGCAAGTGGATATTTCAAGCGATTTGATGCCAACAGTAGAAAAGGAAATATCTTCAAATAAAAACTAGACAGAATCATTCTCAGAAACTACTTTGTGATGTGTGCCTTCAACTCACAGAGTTTAACCTTTCTTTTCTTAGAGCAGTTTAGAAACACTCTGCTTGTTATGTCTGCAAGTGGATATTTGGACCTCTTTGAGGCCTTCGTTGCAAACGGGGTTTCTTCCTTTCATGCTAGACTAAGAAGAGTTCTCAGTAACTTTTTTGTGTTGTGTGTATTCAACTCACAGAGTTGAACCTTGCTTTAGAGAGAGCAGATTTGAAACACTCTTGCTGTGGCATTTTCAGGTGGAGATTTCAAGCGATTTGAGGACAATTGCAGAAAAGGAAATATCTTCGTATAATAACCAGACAGAATCATTCTCAGAAAGTGCTTTGTGATGTGTGCGTTCAACTCACAGAGTTTAACCTTTCTTTTCATAGAGGAGTTTGGAAACACACTGTTTGTAAAGTCTGCAATTGGATATATGGACCTGTTTGAGGCCTTCTTTGGAAACGGGATTTCTTCATTGAATGCTAGACGGAAGAATTCTCAGTAAATTCTTTGTGTTGTGTGCATTCAACTGACAGAGTGGAACGTCCCTTTAGACAGAGCAGATTTGAAACACTCTTTTTGCGGAATTTGCAAGTGGAGATTTCTAGCCATTTGATGCCAACAGTAGAAAGGGAAATATCTTCAAATAAAAACCAGACAGAATCATTCTCAGAAAATTCTTTGTGATGTGTGCGTTCAACTCACATAGTTTAACCTTTCTTTTCATAGAGCAGTTTGGAAACACTCTGTTTGTAAAGTCTGCAAGTGGATATATGGACCGCATTGAGGCCTTCGTTGGAAACGGGATTTCTTCATTTCATGCTAGACAGAAGAATTCTCAGTAACTTCTTTGTGCTGTGTGTATTCAACTCACAGAGTGGAACGTCCCTTTGCACAGAGCAGATTTGAAACACTCTTTTTGTGGAATTTGCAAGTGGAGATTTCAAGCGATTTGATGCCAACAGTAGAAAAGGAAATATCTTCAAATAAAAACTAGACAGAATCATTCTCAGAAACTACTTTGTGATGTGTGCCTTCAACTCACAGAGTTTAACCTTTCTTTTCTTAGAGCAGTTTAGAAACACTCTGCTTGTTATGTCTGCAAGTGGATATTTGGACCTCTTTGAGGCCTTCGTTGCAAACGGGGTTTCTTCCTTTCATGCTAGACTAAGAAGAGTTCTCAGTAACTTTTTTGTGTTGTGTGTATTCAACTCACAGAGTTGAACCTTGCTTTAGAGAGAGCAGATTTGAAACACTCTTGCTGTGGCATTTTCAGGTGGAGATTTCAAGCGATTTGAGGACAATTGCAGAAAAGGAAATATCTTCGTATAATAACCAGACAAAATCATTCTCAGAAAGTGCTTTGTGATGTGTGCGTTCCACTCACAGAGTTTAACCTTTCTTTTCATAGAGGAGTTTGGAAACACACTGTTTGTAAAGTCTGCAAGTGGATATATGGACCTCTTTGAGGCCTTCGTTGGAAACGGGATTTCTTCATTGAATGCTAGACGGAAGAATTCTCAGTAAATTCTTTGTGTTGTGTGCATTCAACTCACAGAGTGGAACGTCCCTTTAGACAGAGCAGATTTGAAACACTCTTTTTGCGGAATTTGCAAGTGGAGATTTCTAGCCATTTGATGCCAACAGTAGAAAGGGAAATATTTTCAAATAAAAACCAGACAGAATCATTCTCAGAAAATTCTTTGTGATGTGTGCGTTCAACTCACATAGTTTAACCTTTCTTTTCATAGAGCAGTTTGGAAACACTCTGTTTGTAAAGTCTGCAAGTGGATATATGGACCGCATTGAGGCCTTCGTTGGAAACGGGATTTCTTCATTTCATGCTAGACAGAAGAATTCTCAGTAACTTCTTTGTGCTGTGTGTATTCAACTCACAGAGTGGAACGTCCCTTTGCACAGAGCAGATTTGAAACACTCTTTTTGTGGAATTTGCAAGTGGAGATTTCAAGCGATTTGATGCCAACAGTAGAAAAGGAAATATCTTCAAATAAAAACTAGACAGAATCATTCTCAGAAACTACTTTGTGATGTGTGCCTTCAACTCACAGAGTTTAACCTTTCTTTTCTTAGAGCAGTTTAGAAACACTCTGCTTGTTATGTCTGCAAGTGGATATTTGGACCTCTTTGAGGCCTTCGTTGCAAACGGGGTTTCTTCCTTTCATGCTAGACTAAGAAGAGTTCTCAGTAACTTTTTTGTGTTGTGTGTATTCAACTCACAGAGTTGAACCTTGCTTTAGAGAGAGCAGATTTGAAACACTCTTGCTGTGGCATTTTCAGGTGGAGATTTCAAGCGATTTGAGGACAATTGCAGAAAAGGAAATATCTTCGTATAATAACCAGACAGAATCATTCTCAGAAAGTGCTTTGTGATGTGTGCGTTCAACTCACAGAGTTTAACCTTTCTTTTCATAGAGGAGTTTGGAAACACACTGTTTGTAAAGTCTGCAATTGGATATATGGACCTGTTTGAGGCCTTCGTTGGAAACGGGATTTCTTCATTGAATGCTAGACGGAAGAATTCTCAGTAAATTCTTCGTGTTGTGTGCATTCAACTCACAGAGTGGAACGTCCCTTTAGACAGAGCAGATTTGAAACACTCTTTTTGCGGAATTTGCAAGTGGAGATTTCTAGCCATTTGATGCCAATAGTAGAAAGGGAAATATCTTCAAATAAAAACCAGACAGAATCATTCTCAGAAAATTCTTTGTGATGTGTGCGTTCAACTCACATAGTTTAACCTTTCTTTTCATAGAGCAGTTTGGAAACACTCTGTTTGTAAAGTCTGCAAGTGGATATATGGACCGCATTGAGGCCTTCGTTGGAAACGGGATTTCTTCATTTCATGCTAGACAGAAGAATTCTCAGCAACTTCTTTGTGCTGTGTGTATTCAACTCACAGAGTGGAACGTCCCTTTACACAGAGCAGATTTGAAACACTCTTTTTGTGGAGTTTGCAAGTGAAGATTTCAAGCGATTTGATGCCAACAGTAGAAAAGGAAATATCTTCAAATAAAAACTAGACAGAATCATTCTCAGAAACTACTTTGTGATGTGTGCCTTCAACTCACAGAGTTTAACCTTTCTTTTCTTAGAGCAGTTTAGAAACACTCTGCTTGTTATGTCTGCAAGTGGATATTTGGACCTCTTTGAGGCCTTCGTTGCAAACGGGGTTTCTTCCTTTCATGCTAGACTAAGGAGAGTTCTCAGTAACTTTTTTGTGTTGTGTGTATTCAACTCACAGAGTTGAACCTTGCTTTAGAGAGAGCAGATTTGAAACACTCTTGCTGTGGCATTTTCAGGTGGAGATTTCAAGCGATTTGAGGACAACTGCAGAAAAGGAAATATCTTCGTATAATAACCAGACAGAATCATTCTCAGAAAGTGCTTTGTGATGTGTGCGTTCAACTCACAGAGTTTAACCTTTCTTTTCATAGAGGAGTTTGGTAACACACTGTTTGTAAAGTCTGCAAGTGGATATATGGACCTGTTTGAGGCCTTCGTTGGAAACGGGATTTCTTCATTGAATGCTAGACGGAAGAATTCTCAGTAAATTCTTTGTGTTGTGTGCATTCAACTCACAGAGTGGAACGTCCCTTTAGACAGAGCAGATTTGAAACACTCTTTTTGCGGAATTTGCAAGTGGAGATTTCTAGCCATTTGATGCCAACAGTAGAAAGGGAAATATCTTCAAATAAAAACCAGACAGAATCATTCTCAGAAAATTCTTTGTGATGTGTGCGTTCAACTCACATAGTTTAACCTTTCTTTTCATAGAGCAGTTTGGAAACACTCTGTTTGTAAAGTCTGCAAGTGGATATATGGACCGCATTGAGGCCTTCGTTGGAAACGGGATTTCTTCATTTCATGCGAGACAGAAGAATTCTCAGTAACTTCTTTGTGCTGTGTGTATTCAACTCACAGAGTGGAACGTCCCTTTACACAGAGCAGATTTGAAACACTCTTTTTGTGGAGTTTGCAAGTGGAGATTTCAAGCGATTTGATGCCAGCAGTAGAAAAGGAAATATCTTCAAATAAAAACTAGACAGAATCATTCTCAGAAACTACTTTGTGATGTGTGCCTTCAACTCACAGAGTTTAACCTTTCTTTTCTTAGAGCAGTTTAGAAACACTCTGCTTGTTATGTCTGCAAGTGGATATTTGGACCTCTTTGAGGCCTTCTTTGCAAACGGGGTTTCTTCCTTTCATGCTAGACTAAGAAGAGTCCTCAGTAACTTTTTTGTGTTGTGTGTATTCAACTCACAGAGTTGAACCTTGCTTTAGAGAGAGCAGATTTGAAACACTCTTGCTGTGGCATTTTCAGGTGGAGATTTCAAGCGATTTGAGGATAATTGCAGAAAAGGAAATATCTTCGTATAATAACCAGACAGAATCATTCTCAGAAAGTGCTTTGTGATGTGTGCGTTCAACTCACAGAGTTTAACCTTTCTTTTCATAGAGGAGTTTGGAAACACACTGTTTGTAAAGTCTGCAAGTGGATATATGGACCTGTTTGAGGCCTTCGTTGGAAACGGGATTTCTTCATTGAATGCTAGACGGAAGAATTCTCAGTAAATTCTGTGTGTTGTGTGCATTCAACTCACAGAGTGGAACGTCCCTTTAGACAGAGCAGATTTGAAACACTCTTTTTGCGGAATTTGCAAGTGGAGATTTCTAGCCATTTGATGCCAACAGTAGAAAGGGAAATATCTTCAAATAAAAACCAGACAGAATCATTCTCAGAAAATTCTTTGTGATGTGTGCGTTCAACTCACATAGTTTAACCTTTCTTTTCATAGAGCAGTTTGGAAACACTCTGTTTGTAAAGTCTGCAAGTGGATATATGGACCGCATTGAGGCCTTCGTTGGAAACGGGATTTCTTCATTTCATGCTAGCCAGAAGAATTCTCAGTAACTTCTTTGTGCTGTGTGTATTCAACTCACGGAGTGGAACGTCCCTTTACACAGAGCAGATTTGAAAGACTCTTTTTGTGGAGTTTGCAAGTGGAGATTTCAAGCGATTTGATGCCAACAGTGGAAAAGGAAATATCTTCAAATAAAAACTAGACAGAATCATTCTCAGAAACTACTTTGTGATGTGTGCCTTCAACTCACAGAGTTTAACCTTTCTTTTCTTAGAGCAGTTTAGAAACACTCTGCTTGTTATGTCTGCAAGTGGATATTTGGACCTCTTTGAGGCCTTCGTTGCAAACGGGATTTCTTCCTTTCATGCTAGACTAAGAAGAGTTCTCAGTAACTTTTTTGTGTTGTGTGTATTCAACTCACAGAGTTGAACCTTGCTTTAGAGAGAGCAGATTTGAAACACTCTTGCTGTGGCATTTTCAGGTGGAGATTTCAAGCGTTTTGAGGACAATTGCAGAAAAGGAAATATCTTCGTATAATAACCAGACAGAATCATTCTCAGAAAGTGCTTTGTGATGTGCGCGTTCAACTCACAGAGTTTAACCTTTCTTTCCATAGAGGAGTTTGGAAACACACTGTTTGTAAAGTCTGCAAGTGGATATATGGACCTGTTTGAGGCCTTCGTTGGAAACGGGATTTCTTCATTGAATGCTAGACGGAAGAATTCTCAGTAAATTCTTTGTGTTGTGTGCATTCAACTCACAGAGTGGAACGTCCCTTTAGACAGAGCAGATTTGAAACACTCTTTTTGCGGAATTTGCAAGTGGAGATTTCTAGCCATTTGATGCCAACAGTAGAAAGGGAAATATCTTCAAATAAAAACCAGACAGAATCATTCTCAGAAAATTCTTTGTGATGTGTGCGTTCAACTCACATAGTTTAACCTTTCTTTTCATAGAGCAGTTTGGAAACACTCTGTTTGTAAAGTCTGCAAGTGGATATATGGACCGCATTGAGGCCTTCGTTGGAAACGGGATTTCTTCATTTCATGCTAGACAGAAGAATTCTCAGTAACTTCTTTGTGCTGTGTGTATTCAACTCACAGAGTGGAACGTCCCTTTACACAGAGCAGATTTGAAACACTCTTTTTGTGGAGTTTGCAAGTGGAGATTTCAAGCGATTTGATGCCAACAGTAGAAAAGGAAATATCTTCAAATAAAAACTAGACAGAATCATTCTCAGAAACTACTTTGTGATGTGTGCCTTCAACTCACAGAGTTTAACCTTTCTTTTCTTAGAGCAGTTTAGAAACACTCTGCTTGTTATGTCTGCAAGTGGATATTTGGACCTCTTTGAGGCCTTCGTTGCAAACGGGGTTTCTTCCTTTCATGCTAGACTAAGAAGAGTTCTCAGTAACTTTTTTGTGTTGTGTGTATTCAACTCACAGAGTTGAACCTTGCTTTAGAGAGAGCAGATTTGAAACACTCTTGCTGTGGCATTTTCAGGTGGAGATTTCAAGCGATTTGAGGACAATTGCAGAAAAGGAAATATCTTCGTATAATAACCAGACAGAATCATTCTCAGAAAGTGCTTTGTGATGTGTGCGTTCAACTCACAGAGTTTAACCTTTCTTTTCATAGAGGAGTTTGGAAACACACTGTTTGTAAAGTCTGCAAGTGGATATATGGACCTGTTTGAGGCCTTCGTTGGAAACGGGATTTCTTCATTGAATGCTAGACGGAAGAATTCTCAGTAAATTCTTTGTGTTGTGTGCATTCAACTGACAGAGTGGAACGTCCCTTTAGACAGAGCAGATTTGAAACACTCTTTTTGCGGAATTTGCAAGTGGAGATTTCTAGCCATTTGATGCCAACAGTAGAAAGGGAAATATCTTCAAATAAAAACCAGACAGAATCATTCTCAGAAAATTCTTTGTGATGTGTGCGTTCAACTCACATAGTTTAACCTTTCTTTTCATAGAGCAGTTTGGAAACACTCTGTTTGTAAAGTCTGCAAGTGGATCTATGGACCGCATTGAGGCCTTCGTTGGAAACGGGATTTCTTCATTTCATGCTAGACAGAAGAATTCTCAGTAACTTCTTTGTGCTGTGTGTATTCAACTCACAGAGTGGAACGTCCCTTTACACAGAGCAGATTTGAAACACTCTTTTTGTGGAGTTTGCAAGTGGAGATTTCAAGCGATTTGATGCCAACAGTAGAAAAGGAAATATCTTCAAATAAAAACTAGACAGAATCATTCTCAGAAACTACTTTGTGATGTGTGCCTTCAACTCACAGAGTTTAACCTTTCTTTTCTTAGAGCAGTTTAGAAACACTCTGCTTGTTATGTCTGCAAGTGGATATTTGGACCTCTTTGAGGCCTTCGTTGCAAACGGGGTTTCTTCCTTTCATGCTAGACTAAGAAGAGTTCTCAGTAACATTTTTGTGTTGTGTGTATTCAACTCACAGAGTTGAACCTTGCTTTAGAGAGAGCAGATTTGAAACACTCTTGCTGTGGCATTTTCAGGTGGAGATTTCAAGCGATTTGAGGACAATTGCAGAAAAGGAAATATCTTCGTATAATAACCAGACAGAATCATTCTCAGAAAGTGCTTTGTGATGTGTGCGTTCCACTCACAGAGTTTAACCTTTCTTTTCATAGAGGAGTTTGGAAACACACTGTTTGTAAACTCTGCAAGTGGATATATGGACCTGTTTGAGGCCTTCGTTGGAAACGGGATTTCTTCATTGAATGCTAGACGGAAGAATTCTCAGTAAATTCTTTGTGTTGTGTGCATTCAACTCACAGAGTGGAACGTCCCTTTAGACAGAGCAGATTTGAAACACTCTTTTTGCGGAATTTGCAAGTGGAGATTTCTAGCCATTTGATGCCAACAGTAGAAAGGGAAATATCTTCAAATAAAAACCAGACAGAATCATTCTCAGAAAATTCTTTGTGATGTGTGCGTTCAACTCACATAGTTTAACCTTTCTTTTCATAGAGCAGTTTGGAAACACTCTGTTTGTAAAGTCTGCAAGTGGATATATGGACCGCATTGAGGCCTTCGTTGGAAACGGGATTTCTTCATTTCATGCTAGACAGAAGAATTCTCAGTAACTTCTTTGTGCTGTGTGTATTCAACTCACAGAGTGGAACGTCCCTTTGCACAGAGCAGATTTGAAACACTCTTTTTGTGGAGTTTGCAAGTGGAGATTTCAAGCGATTTGATGCCAACAGTAGAAAAGGAAATATCTTCAAATAAAAACTAAAAACTAGACAGAATCATTCTCAGAAACTACTTTGTGATGTGTGCCTTCAACTCACAGAGTTTAACCTTTCTTTTCTTAGAGCAGTTTAGAAACACTCTGCTTGTTATGTCTGCAAGTGGATATTTGGACCTCTTTGAGGCCTTCGTTGCAAACGGGGTTTCTTCCTTTCATGCTAGACTAAGAAGAGTTCTCAGTAACTTTTTTGTGTTGTGTGTATTCAACTCACAGAGTTGAACCTTGCTTTAGAGAGAGCAGATTTGAAACACTCTTGCTGTGGCATTTTCAGGTGGAGATTTCAAGCGATTTGAGGACAATTGCAGAAAAGGAAATATCTTCGTATAATAACCAGACAGAATCATTCTCAGAAAGTGCTTTGTGATGTGTGCGTTCAACTCACAGAGTTTAACCTTTCTTTTCATAGAGGAGTTTGGAAACACACTGTTTGTAAAGTCTGCAATTGGATATATGGACCTGTTTGAGGCCTTCGTTGGAAACGGGATTTCTTCATTGAATGCTAGACGGAAGAATTCTCAGTAAATTCTTTGTGTTGTGTGCATTCAACTCACAGAGTGGAACGTCCCTTTAGACAGAGCAGATTTGAAACACTCTTTTTGCGGAATTTGCAAGTGGAGATTTCTAGCCATTTGATGCCAACAGTAGAAAGGGAAATATCTTCAAATAAAAACCAGACAGAATCATTCTCAGAAAATTCTTTGTGATGTGTGCGTTCAACTCACATAGTTTAACCTTTCTTTTCATAGAGCAGTTTGGAAACACTCTGTTTGTAAAGTCTGCAAGTGGATATATGGACCGCATTGAGGCCTTCGTTGGAAACGGGATTTCTTCATTTCATGCTAGACAGAAGAATTCTCAGTAACTTCTTTGTGCTGTGTGTATTCAACTCACAGAGTGGAACGTCCCTTTGCACAGAGCAGATTTGAAACACTCTTTTTGTGGAGTTTGCAAGTGGAGATTTCAAGCGATTTGATGCCAACAGTAGAAAAGGAAATATCTTCAAATAAAAACTAGACAGAATCATTCTCAGAAACTACTTTGTGATGTGTGCCTTCAACTCACAGAGTTTAACCTTTCTTTTCTTAGAGCAGTTTAGAAACACTCTGCTTGTTATGTCTGCAAGTGGATATTTGGACCTCTTTGAGGCCTTCGTTGCAAACGGGGTTTCTTCCTTTAATGCTAGACTAAGAAGAGTTCTCAGTAACTTTTTTGTGTTGTGTGTATTCAACTCACAGAGTTGAACCTTGCTTTAGGGAGAGCAGATTTGAAACACTCTTGCTGTGGCATTTTCAGGTGGAGATTTCAAGCGTTTTGAGGACAATTGCAGAAAAGGAAATATCTTCGTATAATAACCAGACAGAATCATTCTCAGAAAGTGCTTTGTGATGTGTGCGTTCAACTCACAGAGTTTAACCTTTCTTTTCATAGAGGAGTTTGGAAACACACTGTTTGTAAAGTCTGCAATTGGATATATGGACCTGTTTGAGGCCTTCGTTGGAAACGGGATTTCTTCATTGAATGCTAGACGGAAGAATTCTCAGTAAATTCTTTGTGTGGTGTGCATTCAACTCACAGAGTGGAACGTCCCTTTAGACAGAGCAGATTTGAAACACTCTTTTTGCGGAATTTGCAAGTGGAGATTTCTAGCCATTTGATGCCAACAGTAGAAAGGGAAATATCTTCAAATAAAAACCAGACAGAATCATTCTCAGAAAATTCTTTGTGATGTGTGCGTTCAACTCACATAGTTTAACCTTTCTTTTCATAGAGCAGTTTGGAAACACTCTGTTTGTAAAGTCTGCAAGTGGATATATGGACCGCATTGAGGCCTTCGTTGGAAAAGGGATTTCTTCATTTCATGCTAGACAGAAGAATTCTCAGTAACTTCTTTGTGCTGTGTGTATTCAACTCACAGAGTGGAACGTCCCTTTGCACAGAGCAGATTTGAAACACTCTTTTTGTGGAGTTTGCAAGTGGAGATTTCAAGCGATTTGATGCCAACAGTAGAAAAGGAAATATCTTCAAATAAAAACTAGACAGAATCATTCTCAGAAACTACTTTGTGATGTGTGCCTTCAACTCACAGAGTTTAACCTTTCTTTTCTTAGAGCAGTTTAGAAACACTCTGCTTGTTATGTCTGCAAGTGGATATTTGGACCTCTTTGAGGCCTTCGTTGCAAACAGGGTTTCTTCCTTTAATGCTAGACTAAGAAGAGTTCTCAGTAACTTTTTTGTGTTGTGTGTATTCAACTCACAGAGTTGAACCTTGCTTTAGAGAGAGCAGATTTGAAACACTCTTGCTGTGGCATTTTCAGGTGGAGATTTCAAGCGATTTGAGGACAATTGCAGAAAAGGAAATATCTTCGTATAACAACCAGACAGAATCATTCTCAGAAAGTGCTTTGTGATGTGTGCGTTCAACTCACAGAGTTTAACCTTTCTTTTCATAGAGGAGTTTGGAAACACACTGTTTGTAAAGTCTGCAATTGGATATATGGACCTGTTTGAGGCCTCCGTTGGAAACGGGATTTCTTCATTGAATGCTAGACGGAAGAATTCTCAGTAAATTCTTTGTGTTGTGTGCATTCAACTCAGAGAGTGGAACGTCCCTTTAGACAGAGCAGATTTGAAACACTCTTTTTGCGGAATTTGCAAGTGGAGATTTCTAGCCATTTGATGCCAACAGTAGAAAGGGAAATATCTTCAAATAAAAACCAGACAGAATCATTCTCAGAAAATTCTTTGTGATGTGTGCGTTCAACTCACATAGTTTAACCTTTCTTTTCATAGAGCAGTTTGGAAACACTCTGTTTGTAAAGTCTGCAAGTGGATATATGGACCGCATTGAGGCCTTCGTTGGAAACGGGATTTCTTCATTTCATGCTAGACAGAAGAATTCTCAGTAACTTCTTTGTGCTGTGTGTATTCAACTCACAGAGTGGAACGTCCCTTTGCACAGAGCAGATTTGAAACACTCTTTTTGTGGAGTTTGCAAGTGGAGATTTCAAGCGATTTGATGCCAACAGTAGAAAAGGAAATATCTTCAAATAAAAACTAGACAGAATCATTCTCAGAAACTACTTTGTGATGTGTGCCTTTAACTCACAGAGTTTAACCTTTCTTTTCTTAGAGCAGTTTAGAAACACTCTGCTTGTTATGTCTGCAAGGGGATATTTGGACCTCTTTGAGGCCTTCGTTGCAAACGGGGTTTCTTCCTTTCATGCTAGACTAAGAAGTGTTCTCAGTAACTTTTTTGTGTTGTGTGTATTCAACTCACAGAGTTGAACCTTGCTTTAGAGAGAGCAGATTTGAAACACTCTTGCTGTGGCATTTTCAGGTGGAGATTTCAAGCGATTTGAGGACAATTGCAGAAAAGGAAATATCTTCGTATAATAACCAGACAGAATCATTCTCAGAAAGTGCTTTGTGATGTGTGCGTTCAACTCACAGAGTTTAACCTTTCTTTTCATAGAGGAGTTTGGAAACACACTGTTTGTAAAGTCTGCAGGTGGATACATGGACCTGTTTGAGGCCTTCGTTGGAAACGGGATTTCTTCATTGAATGCTAGACGGAAGAATTCTCAGTAAATTCTTTGTGTTGTGTCCATTCAACTCACAGAGTGGAACGTCCCTTTAGACAGAGCAGATTTGAAACACTCTTTTTGCGGAATTTGCAAGTGGAGATTTCTAGCCATTTGATGCCAACAGTAGAAAGGGAAATATCTTCAAATAAAAACCAGACAGAATCATTCTCAGAAAATTCTTTGTGATGTGTGCGTTCAACTCACATAGTTTAACCTTTCTTTTCATAGAGCAGTTTGGAAACACTCTGTTTGTAAAGTCTGCAAGTGGATATATGGACCGCATTGAGGCCTTCGTTGGAAACGGGATTTCTTCATTTCATGCTAGACAGAAGAATTCTCAGTAACTTCTTTGTGCTGTGTGTATTCAACTCACAGAGTGGAACGTCCCTTTGCACAGAGCAGATTTGAAACACTCTTTTTGTGGAATTTGCAAGTGGAGATTTCAAGCGATTTGATGCCAACAGTAGAAAAGGAAATATCTTCAAATAAAAACTAGACAGAATCATTCTCAGAAACTACTTTGTGATGTGTGCCTTCAACTCACAGAGTTTAACCTTTCTTTTCTTAGAGCAGTTTAGAAACACTCTGCTTGTTATGTCTGCAAGTGGATATTTGGACCTCTTTGAGGCCTTCGTTGCAAACGGGGTTTCTTCCTTTCATGCTAGACTAAGAAGAGTTCTCAGTAACTTTTTTGTGTTGTGTGTATTCAACTCACAGAGTTGAACCTTGCTTTAGAGAGAGCAGATTTGAAACACTCTTGCTGTGGCATTTTCAGGTGGAGATTTCAAGCGATTTGAGGACAATTGCAGAAAAGGAAATATCTTCGTATAATAACCAGACAGAATCATTCTCAGAAAGTGCTTTGTGATGTGTGCGTTCAACTCACAGAGTTTAACCTTTCTTTCCATAGAGGAGTTTGGAAACACACTGTTTGTAAAGTCTGCAATTGGATATATGGACCTGTTTGAGGCCTTCGTTGGAAACGGGATTTCTTCATTGAATGCTAGACGGAAGAATTCTCAGTAAATTCTTTGTGTTGTGTGCATTCAACTCACAGAGTGGAACGTCCCTTTAGACAGAGCAGATTTAAAACACTCTTTTTGCGGAATTTGCAAGTGGAGATTTCTAGCCATTTGATGCCAACAGTAGAAAGGGAAATATCTTCAAATAAAAACCAGACAGAATCATTCTCAGAAAATTCTTTGTGATGTGTGCGTTCAACTCACATAGTTTAACCTTTCTTTTCATAGAGCAGTTTGGAAACACTCTGTTTGTAAAGTCTGCAAGTGGATATATGGACCGCATTGAGGCCTTCGTTGGAAACGGGATTTCTTCATTTCATGCTAGACAGAAGAATTCTCAGTAACTTCTTTGT
Organism: Homo sapiens; assembly: GCF_000001405.40. Classification (NCBI taxonomy): domain Eukaryota; kingdom Metazoa; phylum Chordata; class Mammalia; order Primates; family Hominidae; genus Homo; species Homo sapiens. The sequence continues at coordinate 58,684,727 of NC_000007.14, forward strand.
GCTGTGTGTATTCAACTCACAGAGTGGAACGTCCCTTTGCACAGAGCAGATTTCAAACACTCTTTTTGTGGAGTTTGCAAGTGGAGATTTCAAGCGATTTGATGCCAACAGTAGAAAAGGAAATATCTTCAAATAAAAACTAGACAGAATCATTCTCAGAAACTACTTTGTGATGTGTGCCTTCAACTCACAGAGTTTAACCTTTCTTTTCTTAGAGCAGTTTAGAAACACTCTGCTTGTTATGTCTGCAAGTGGATATTTGGACCTCTTTGAGGCCTTCGTTGCAAACGGGGTTTCTTCCTTTCATGCTAGACTAAGAAGAGTTCTCAGTAACTTTTTTGTGTTGTGTGTATTCAACTCACAGAGTTGAACCTTGCTTTAGAGAGAGCAGATTTGAAACACTCTTGCTGTGGCATTTTCAGGTGGAGATTTCAAGCGATTTGAGGACAATTGCAGAAAAGGAAATATCTTCGTATAATAACCAGACAGAATCATTCTCAGAAAGTGCTTTGTGATGTGTGCGTTCAACTCACAGAGTTTAACCTTTCTTTTCATAGAGGAGTTTGGAAACACACTGTTTGTAAAGTCTGCTAGTGGATATATGGACCTGTTTGAGGCCTTCTTTGGAAACGGGATTTCTTCATTGAATGCTAGACGGAAGAATTCTCAGTAAATTCTTTGTGTTGTGTGCATTCAACTCACAGAGTGGAACGTCCCTTTAGACAGAGCAGATTTGAAACACTCTTTTTGCGGAATTTGCAAGTGGAGATTTCTAGCCATTTGATGCCAACAGTAGAAAGGGAAATATCTTCAAATAAAAACCAGACAGAATCATTCTCAGAAAGTGCTTTGTGATGTGTGCGTTCAACTCACAGAGTTTAACCTTTCTTTTCATAGAGGAGTTTGGAAACACACTGTTTGTAAAGTCTGCAATTGGATATATGGACCTGTTTGAGGCCTTCGTTGGAAACGGGATTTCTTCATTGCATGCTAGACGGAAGAATTCTCAGTAAATTCTTTGTGTTGTGTGCATTCAACTCACAGAGTGGAACGTCCCTTTAGACAGAGCAGATTTGAAACACTCTTTTTGCGGAATTTGCAAGTGGAGATTTCTAGCCATTTGATGCCAACAGTAGAAAGGGAAATATCTTCAAATAAAAACCAGACAGAATCATTCTCAGAAAATTCTTTGTGATGTGTGCGTTCAACTCACATAGTTTAACCTTTCTTTTCATAGAGCAGTTTGGAAACACTCTGTTTGTAAAGTCTGCAAGTGGATATATGGACCGCATTGAGGCCTTCGTTGGAAACGGGATTTCTTCATTTCATGCTAGACAGAAGAATTCTCAGTAACTTCTTTGTGCTGTGTGTATTCAACTCACAGAGTGGAACGTCCCTTTGCACAGAGCAGATTTGAAACACTCTTTTTGTGGAGTTTGCAAGTGGAGATTTCAAGCGATTTGATGCCAACAGTAGAAAAGGAAATATCTTCAAATAAAAACTAGACAGAATCATTCTCAGAAACTACTTTGTGATGTGTGCCTTCAACTCACAGAGTTTAACCTTTCTTTTCTTAGAGCAGTTTAGAAACACTCTGCTTGTTATGTCTGCAAGTGGATATTTGGACCTCTTTGAGGCCTTCGTTGCAAACGGGGTTTCTTCCTTTAATGCTAGACTAAGAAGAGTTCTCAGTAACTTTTCTGTGTTGTGTGTATTCAACTCACAGAGTTGAACCTTGCTTTAGAGAGAGCAGATTTGAAACACTCTCGCTGTGGAATTTTCAGGTGGAGATTTCAAGCGATTTGAGGACAATTGCAGAAAAGGAAATATCTTCGTATAATAACCAGACAGAATCATTCTCAGAAAGTGCTTTGTGATGTGTGCGTTCAACTCACAGAGTTTAACCTTTCTTTTCATAGAGGAGTTTGGAAACACACTGTTTGTAAAGTCTACAATTGGATATATGGACCTGTTTGAGGCCTTCGTTGGAAACGGGATTTCATCATTGAATGCTAGACGGAAGGATTCTCAGTAAATTCTTTGTGTTGTGTGCATTCAACTCACAGAGTGGAACGTCCCTTTAGACAGAGCAGATTTGAAACACTCTTTTTGCGGAATTTGCAAGTGGAGATTTCTAGCCATTTGATGCCAACAGTAGAAAGGGAAATATCTTCAAATAAAAACCAGACAGAATCATTCTCAGAAAATTCTTTGTGATGTGTGCGTTCAACTCACATAGTTTAACCTTTCTTTTCATAGAGCAGTTTGGAAACACTCTGTTTGTAAAGTCTGCAAGTGGATATATGGACCGCATTGAGGCCTTCGTTGGAAACGGGATTTCTTCATTTCATACTAGACAGAAGAATTCTCAGTAACTTCTTTGTGCTGTGTGTATTCAACTCACAGAGTGGAACATCCCTTTGCACAGAGCAGATTTGAAACACTCTTTTTGTGGAGTTTGCAAGTGGAGATTTCAAGCGATTTGATGCCAACAGTAGAAAAGGAAATATCTTCAAATAAAAACTAGACAGAATCATTCTCAGAAACTACTTTGTGATGTGTGCCTTCAACTCACAGAGTTTAACCTTTCTTTTCTTAGAGCAGTTTAGAAACACTCTCCTTGTTATGTCTGCAAGTGGATATTTGGACCTCTTTGAGGCCTTCGTTGCAAACGGGGTTTCTTCCTTTCACGCTAGACTAAGAAGAGTTCTCAGTAACTTTTTTGTGTTGTGTGTATTCAACTCACAGAGTTGAACCTTGCTTTAGAGAGAGCAGATTTGAAACACTCTTGCTGTGGCATTTTCAGGTGGAGATTTCAAGCGATTTGAGGACAATTGCAGAAAAGGAAATATCTTCGTATAATAACCAGACAGAATCATTCTCAGAAAATTCTTTGTGATGTGTGCGTTCAACTCACATAGTTTAACCTTTCTTTTCATAGAGCAGTTTGGAAACACTCTGTTTGTAAAGTCTGCAAGTGGATATATGGACCTGTTTGAGGCCTTCGTTGGAAACGGGATTTCTTCATTGAATGCTAGACGGAAGAATTCTCAGTAAATTCTTTGTGTTGTGTGCATTCAACTGACAGAGTGGAACGTCCCTTTAGACAGAGCAGATTTGAAACACTCTTTTTGCGGAATTTGCAAGTGGAGATTTCTAGCCATTTGATGCCAACAGTAGAAAGGGAAACATCTTCAAATAAAAACCAGACAGAATCATTCTCAGAAAATTCTTTGTGATGTGTGCGTTCAACTCACATAGTTTAACCTTTCTTTTCATAGAGCAGTTTGGAAACACTCTGTTTGTAAAGTCTGCAAGTGGATATATGGACCGCATTGAGGCCTTCGTTGGAAACGGGATTTCTTCATTTCATGCTAGACAGAAGAATTCTCAGTAACTTCTTTGTGCTGTGTGTATTCAACTCACAGAGTGGAACGTCCCTTTGCACAGAGCAGATTTGAAACACTCTTTTTGTGGAATTTGCAAGTGGAGATTTCAAGCGATTTGATGCCAACAGTAGAAAAGGAAATATCTTCAAATAAAAACTAGACAGAATCATTCTCAGAAACTACTTTGTGATGTGTGCCTTCAACTCACAGAGTTTAACCTTTCTTTTCTTAGAGCAGTTTAGAAACACTCTGCTTGTTATGTCTGCAAGTGGATATTTGGACCTCTTTGAGGCCTTCGTTGCAAACGGGGTTTCTTCCTTTCATGCTAGACTAAGAAGAGTTCTCAGTAACTTTTTTGTGTTGTGTGTATTCAACTCACAGAGTTGAACCTTGCTTTAGAGAGAGCAGATTTGAAACACTCTTGCTGTGGCATTTTCAGGTGGAGATTTCAAGCGATTTGAGGACAATTGCAGAAAAGGAAATATCTTCGTATAATAACCAGACAGAATCATTCTCAGAAAGTGCTTTGTGATGTGTGCGTTCAACTCACAGAGTTTAACCTTTCTTTTCATAGAGGAGTTTGGAAACACACTGTTTGTAAAGTCTGCAAGTGGATATATGGACCTGTTTGAGGCCTTCGTTGGAAACGGGATTTCTTCATTGAATGCTAGACGGAAGAATTCTCAGTAAATTCTTTGTGTTGTGTGCATTCAACTCACAGAGTGGAACGTCCCTTTAGACAGAGCAGATTTGAAACACTCTTTTTGCGGAATTTGCAAGTGGAGATTTCTAGCCATTTGATGCCAACAGTAGAAAGGGAAACATCTTCAAATAAAAACCAGACAGAATCATTCTCAGAAAATTCTTTGTGATGTGTGCGTTCAACTCACATAGTTTAACCTTTCTTTTCATAGAGCAGTTTGGAAACACTCTGTTTGTAAAGTCTGCAAGTGGATATATGGACCGCATTGAGGCCTTCGTTGGAAACGGGATTTCTTCATTTCATGCTAGACAGAAGAATTCTCAGTAACTTCTTTGTGCTGTGTGTATTCAACTCACAGAGTGGAACGTCCCTTTGCACAGAGCAGATTTGAAACACTCTTTTTGTGGAATTTGCAAGTGGAGATTTCAAGCGATTTGATGCCAACAGTAGAAAAGGAAATATCTTCAAATAAAAACTAGACAGAATCATTCTCAGAAACTACTTTGTGATGTGTGCCTTCAACTCACAGAGTTCAACCTTTCTTTTCTTAGAGCAGTTTAGAAACACTCTGCTTGTTATGTCTGCAAGTGGATATTTGGACCTCTTTGAGGCCTTCGTTGCAAACGGGGTTTCTTCCTTTCATGCTAGACTAAGAAGAGTTCTCAGTAACTTTTTTGTGTTGTGTGTATTCAACTCACAGAGTTGAACCTTGCTTTAGAGAGAGCAGATTTGAAACACTCTTGCTGTGGCATTTTCAGGTGGAGATTTCAAGCGATTTGAGGACAATTGCAGAAAAGGAAATATCTTCGTATAATAACCAGACAGAATCATTCTCAGAAAGTGCTTTGTGATGTGTGCGTTCAACTCACAGAGTTTAACCTGTCTTTTCATAGAGGAGTTTGGAAACACACTGTTTGTAAAGTCTGCAAGTGGATATATGGACCTGTTTGAGGCCTTCGTTGGAAACGGGATTTCTTCATTGAATGCTAGACGGAAGAATTCTCAGTAAATTCTTTGTGTTGTGTGCATTCAACTCACAGAGTGGAACGTCCCTTTAGACAGAGCAGATTTGAAACACTCTTTTTGCGGAATTTGCAAGTGGAGATTTCTAGCCATTTGATGCCAACAGTAGAAAGGGAAATATCTTCAAATAAAAACCAGACAGAATCATTCTCAGAAAATTCTTTGTGATGTGTGCGTTCAACTCACATAGTTTAACCTTTCTTTTCATAGAGCAGTTTGGAAACACTCTGTTTGTAAAGTCTGCAAGTGGATATATGGACCGCATTGAGGCCTTCGTTGGAAACGGGATTTCTTCATTTCATGCTAGACAGAAGAATTCTCAGTAACTTCTTTGTGCTGTGTGTATTCAACTCACAGAGTGGAACGTCCCTTTGCACAGAGCAGATTTGAAACACTCTTTTTGTGGAATTTGCAAGTGGAGATTTCAAGCGATTTGATGCCAACAGTAGAAAAGGAAATATCTTCAAATAAAAACTAGACAGAATCATTCTCAGAAACTACTTTGTGATGTGTGCCTTCAACTCACAGAGTTCAACCTTTCTTTTCTTAGAGCAGTTTAGAAACACTCTGCTTGTTATGTCTGCAAGTGGATATTTGGACCTCTTTGAGGCCTTCGTTGTAAACGGGGTTTCTTCCTTTCATGCTAGACTAAGAAGAGTTCTCAGTAACTTTTTTGTGTTGTGTGTATTCAACTCACAGAGCTGAACCTTGCTTTAGAGAGAGCAGATTTGAAACACTCTTGCTGTGGCATTTTCAGGTGGAGATTTCAAGCGATTTGAGGACAATTTCAGAAAAGGAAATATCTTCGTATAACAACCAGACAGAATCATTCTCAGAAAGTGCTTTGTGATGTGTGCGTTCAACTCACAGAGTTTAACCTTTCTTTTCATAGAGGAGTTTGGAAACACACTGTTTGTAAAGTCTGCAATTGGATATATGGACCTGTTTGAGGCCTTCGTTGGAAACGGGATTTCTTCATTGAATGCTAGACGGAAGAATTCTCAGTAAATACTTTGTGTTGTGTGCATTCAACTGACAGAGTGGAACGTCCCTTTAGACAGAGCAGATTTGAAACACTCTTTTTGCGGAATTTGCAAGTGGAGATTTCTAGCCATTTGATGCCAACAGTAGAAAGGGAAATATCTTCAAATAAAAACCAGACAGAATCATTCTCAGAAAATTCTTTGTGATGTGTGCGTTCAACTCACATAGTTTAACCTTTCTTTTCATAGAGCAGTTTGGAAACACTCTGTTTGTAAAGTCTGCAAGTGGATATATGGACCGCATTGAGGCCTTCGTTGGAAACGGGATTTCTTCATTTCATGCTAGACAGAAGAATTCTCAGTAACTTCTTTGTGCTGTGTGTATTCAACTCACAGAGTGGAACGTCCCTTTACACAGAGCAGATTTTAAACACTCTTTTTGTGGAGTTTGCAAGTGGAGATTTCAAGCGATTTGATGCCAACAGTAGAAAAGGAAATATCTTCAAATAAAAACTAGACAGATAATCATTCTCAGGAAACTACTTTGTGATGTGTGCCTTCAACTCACAGAGTTTAACCTTTCTTTTCTTAGAGCAGTTTAGAAACACTCTGCTTGTTATGTCTGCAAGTGGATATTTGGACCTCTTTGAGGCCTTCGTTGCAAACGGGGTTTCTTCCTTTAATGCTAGACTAAGAAGAGTTCTCAGTAACTTTTTTGTGTTGTGTGTATTCAACTCACAGAGTTGAACCTTGCTTTAGAGAGAGCAGATTTGAAACACTCTTGCTGTGGCATTTTCAGGTGGAGATTTCAAGCGATTTGAGGACAATTGCAGAAAAGGAAATATCTTCGTATAATAACCAGACAGAATCATTCTCAGAAAGTGCTTTGTGATGTGTGCGTTCAACTCACAGAGTTTAACCTTTCTTTTCATAGAGGAGTTTGGAAACACACTGTTTGTAAAGTCTGCAATTGGATATATGGACCTGTTTGAGGCCTTCTTTGGAAACGGGATTTCTTCATTGAATGCTAGACGGAAGAATTCTCAGTAAATTCTTTGTGTTGTGTGCATTCAACTCACAGAGTGGAACGTCCCTTTAGACAGAGCAGATTTGAAACACTCTTTTTGCGGAATTTGCAAGTGGAGATTTCTAGCCATTTGATGCCAACAGTAGAAAGGGAAATATCTTCAAATAAAAACCAGACAGAATCATTCTCAGAAAATTCTTTGTGATGTGTGCGTTCAACTCACATAGTTTAACCTTTCTTTTCATAGAGCAGTTTGGAAACACTCTGTTTGTAAAGTCTGCAAGTGGATATATGGACCGCATTGAGGCCTTCGTTGGAAACGGGACTTCTTCATTTCATGCTAGACAGAAGAATTCTCAGTAACTTCTTTGTGCTGTGTGTATTCAACTCACAGAGTGGAACGTCCCTTTACACAGAGCAGATTTGAAACACTCTTTTTGTGGAGTTTGCAAGTGGAGATTTCAAGCGATTTGATGCCAACAGTAGAAAAGGAAATATCTTCAAATAAAAACTAGACAGAATCATTCTCAGAAACTACTTTGTGATGTGTGCCTTCAACTCAGAGTTTAACCTTTCTTTTCTTAGAGCAGTTTAGAAACACTCTGCTTGTTATGTCTGCAAGTGGATATTTGGACCTCTTTGAGGCCTTCGTTGCAAACGGGGTTTCTTCTTTTAATGCTAGACTAAGAAGAGTTCTCAGTAACTTTTTTGTGTTGTGTGTATTCAACTCACAGAGTTGAACCTTGCTTTAGAGAGAGCAGATTTGAAACACTCTTGCTGTGGCATTTTCAGGTGGAGATTTCAAGCGATTTGAGGACAATTGCAGAAAAGGAAATATCTTCGTATAATAACCAGACAGAATCATTCTCAGAAAGTGCTTTGTGATGTGTGCGTTCAACTCACCGAGTTTAACCTTTCTTTTCATAGAGGAGTTTGGAAACACACTGTTTGTAAAGTCTGCAAGTGGATATATGGACCTGTTTGAGGCCTTCGTTGGAAACGGGATTTCTTCATTGAATGCTAGACGGAAGAATTCTCAGTAAATTCTTTGTGTTGTGTGCATTCAACTGACAGAGTGGAACGTCCCTTTAGACAGAGCAGATTTGAAACACTCTTTTTGCGGAATTTGCAAGTGGAGATTTCTAGCCATTTGATGCCAACAGTAGAAAGGGAAATATCTTCAAATAAAAACCAGACAGAATCATTCTCAGAAAATTCTTTGTGATGTGTGCGTTCAACTCACATAGTTTAACCTTTCTTTTCATAGAGCAGTTTGGAAACACTCTGTTTGTAAAGTCTGCAAGTGGATATATGGACCGCATTGAGGCCTTCGTTGGAAACGGGATTTCTTCATTTCATGCTAGACAGAAGAATTCTCAGTAACTTCTTTGTGCTGTGTATATTCAACTCACAGAGTGGAACGTCCCTTTACACAGAGCAGATTTGAAACACTCTTTTTGTGGAGTTTGCAAGTGGAGATTTCAAGCGATTTGATGCCAACAGTAGAAAAGGAAATATCTTCAAATAAAAACTAGACAGAATCATTCTCAGAAACTACTTTGTGATGTGTGCCTTCAACTCACAGAGTTTAACCTTTCTTTTCTTAGAGCAGTTTAGAAACACTCTGCTTGTTATGTCTGCAAGTGGATATTTGGACCTCTTTGAGGCCTTCGTTGCAAACGGGGTTTCTTCCTTTCATGCTAGACTAAGAAGAGTTCTCAGTAACTTTTTTGTGTTGTGTGTATTCAACTCACAGAGTTGAACCTTGCTTTAGAGAGAGCAGATTTGAAACACTCTTGCTGTGGCATTTTCAGGTGGAGATTTCAAGCGATTTGAGGACAATTGCAGAAAAGGAAATATCTTCGTATAATAACCAGAGAGAATCATTCTCAGAAAGTGCTTTGTGATGTGTGCGTTCCACTCACAGAGTTTAACCTTTCTTTTCATAGAGGAGTTTGGAAACACACTGTTTGTAAAGTCTGCAAGTGGATATATGGACCTGTTTGAGGCCTTCGTTGGAAACGGGATTTCTTCATTGAATGCTAGACGGAAGAATTCTCAGTAAATTCTTTGTGTTGTGTGCATTCAACTCACAGAGTGGAACGTCCCTTTAGACACAGCAGATTTGAAACACTCTTTTTGCGGAATTTGCAAGTGGAGATTTCTAGCCATTTGATGCCAACAGTAGAAAGGGAAATATCTTCAAATAAAAACCAGACAGAATCATTCTCAGAAAATTCTTTGTGATGTGTGCGTTCAACTCACATACTTTAACCTTTCTTTTCATAGAGCAGTTTGGAAACACTCTGTTTGTAAAGTCTGCAAGTGGATATATGGACCTGTTTGAGGCCTTCGTTGGAAACGGGATTTCTTCATTGAATGCTAGGCGGAAGAATTCTCAGTAAATTCTTTGTGTTGTGTGCATTCAACTCACAGAGTGGAACGTCCCTTTAGACAGAGCAGATTTGAAACACTCTTTTTGCGGAATTTGCAAGTGGAGATTTCTAGCCATTTGATGCCAACAGTAGAAAGGGAAATATCTTCAAATAAAAACCAGACAGAATCATTCTCAGAAAATTCTTTGTGATGTGTGCGTTCAACTCACATAGTTTAACCTTTCTTTTCATAGAGCAGTTTGGAAACACTCTGTTTGTAAAGTCTGCAAGTGGATATATGGACCGCATTGAGGCCTTCGTTGGAAACGGGATTTCTTCATTTCATGCTAGACAGAAGAATTCTCAGTAACTTCTTTGTGCTGTGTGTATTCAACTCACAGAGTGGAACGTCCCTTTGCACAGAGCAGATTTGAAACACTCTTTTTGTGGAATTTGCAAGTGGAGATTTCAAGCGATTTGATGCCAACAGTAGAAAAGGAAATATCTTCAAATAAAACTAGACAGAATCATTCTCAGAAACTACTTTGTGATGTGTGCCTTCAACTCACAGAGTTTAACCTTTCTTTTCTTAGAGCAGTTTAGGAACACTCTGCTTGTTATGTCTGCAAGTGGATATTTGGACCTCTTTGAGGCCTTCGTTGCAAACGGGGTTTCTTCTTTTCATGCTAGACTAAGAAGAGTTCTCAGTAACTTTTTTGTGTTGTGTGTATTCAACTCACAGAGTTGAACCTTGCTTTAGAGAGAGCAGATTTGAAACACTATTGCTGTGGCATTTTCAGGTGGAGATTTCAAGCGATTTGAGGACAATTGCAGAAAAGGAAATATCTTCGTATAATAACCAGACAGAATCATTCTCAGAAAGTGCTTTGTGATGTGTGCGTTCAACTCACAGAGTTTAACCTTTCTTTTCATAGAGGAGTTTGGAAACACACTGTTTGTAAAGTCTGCAATTGGATATATGGACCTGTTTGAGGCCTTCGTTGGAAACGGGATTTCTTCATTGAATGCTAGACGGAAGAATTCTCAGTAAATTCTTTGTGTTGTGTGCATTCAACTCACAGAGTGGAACGTCCCTTTAGACAGAGCAGATTTGAAACACTCTTTTTGCGGAATTTGCAAGTGGAGATTTCTAGCCATTTGATGCCAACAGTAGAAAGGGAAATATCTTCAAATAAAAACCAGACAGAATCATTCTCAGAAAATTCTTTGTGATGTGTGCGTTCAACTCACATAGTTTAACCTCTCTTTTCATAGAGCAGTTTGGAAACACTCTGTTTGTAAAGTCTGCAAGTGGATATATGGACCGCATTGAGGCCTTCGTTGGGAACGGGATTTCTTCATTTCATGCTAGACAGAAGAATTCTCAGTAACTTCTTTGTGCTGTGTGTATTCAACTCACAGAGTGGAACGTCCCATTGCACAGAGCAGATTTGAAACACTCTTTTTGTGGAGTTTGCAAGTGGAGATTTCAAGCGATTTGATGCCAACAGTAGAAAAGGAAATATCTTCAAATAAAAACTAGACAGAATCATTCTCAGAAACTACTTTGTGATGTGTGCCTTCAACTCACAGAGTTTAACCTTTCTTTTCTTAGAGCAGTTTAGAAACACTCTGCTTGTTATGTCTGCAAGTGGATATTTGGACCTCTTTGAGGCCTTCGTTGCAAACGGGGTTTCTTCCTTTCATGCTAGACTAAGAAGAGTTCTCAGTAACTTTTTTGTGTTGTGTGTATTCAACTCACAGAGTTGAACCTTGCTTTAGAGAGAGCAGATTTGAAACACTCTCGCTGTGGAATTTTCAGGTGGAGATTTCAAGCGATTTGAGGACAATTGCAGAAAAGGAAATATCTTCGTATAATAACCAGACAGAATCATTCTCAGAAAGTGCTTTGTGATGTGTGCGTTCAACTCACAGAGTTTAACCTTTCTTTTCATAGAGGAGTTTGGAAACACACTGTTTGTAAAGTCTGCAATTGGATATATGGACCTGTTTGAGGCCTTCGTTGGAAACGGGATTTCTTCATTGAATGCTAGACGGAAGGATTCTCAGTAAATTCTTTGTGTTGAGTGCATTCAACTCACAGAGTGGAACGTCCCTTTAGACAGAGCAGATTTGAAACACTCTTTTTGCGGAATTTGCAAGTGGAGATTTCTAGCCATTTGATGCCAACAGTAGAAAGGGAAATATCTTCAAATAAAAACCAGACAGAATCATTCTCAGAAAATTCTTTGTGATGTGTGCGTTCAACTCACATAGTTTAACCTTTCTTTTCATAGAGCAGTTTGGAAACACTCTGTTTGTAAAGTCTGCAAGTGGATATATGGACCGCATTGAGGCCTTCGTTGGAAACGGGATTTCTTCATTTCATACTAGACAGAAGAATTCTCAGTATCTTCTTTGTGCTGGGTGTATTCAACTCACAGAGTGGAACGTCCCTTTGCACAGAGCAGATTTGAAACACTCTTTTTGTGGAGTTTGCAAGTGGAGATTTCAAGCGATTTGATGCCAACAGTAGAAAAGGAAATATCTTCAAATAAAAACTAGACAGAATCATTCTCAGAAACTACTTTGTGATGTGTGCCTTCAACTCACAGAGTTTAACCTTTCTTTTCTTAGAGCAGTTTAGAAACACTCTGCTTGTTATGTCTGCAAGTGGATATTTGGACCTCTTTGAGGCCTTCGTTGCAAACGGGGTTTCTTCCTTTCATGCTAGACTAAGAAGAGTTCTCAGTAACTTTTTTGTGTTGTGTGTATTCAACTCACAGGGTTGAACCTTGCTTTAGAGAGAGCAGATTTGAAACACTCTTGCTGTGGCATTTTCAGGTGGAGATTTCAAGCGATTTGAGGACAATTGCAGAAAAGGAAATATCTTCGTATAATAACCAGACAGAATCATTCTCAGAAAGTGCTTTGTGATGTGTGCGTTCCACTCACAGAGTTTAACCTTTCTTTTCATAGAGGAGTTTGGAAACACACTGTTTGTAAAGTCTGCAATTGGATATATGGACCTGTTTGAGGCCTTCGTTGGAAACGGGATTTCTTCATTGAATGCTAGACGGAAGAATTCTCAGTAAATTCTTTGTGTGGTGTGCATTCAACTCACAGAGTGGAACGTCCCTTTAGACAGAGCAGATTTGAAACACTCTTTTTGCGGAATTTGCAAGTGGAGATTTCTAGCCATTTGATGCCAACAGTAGAAAGGGAAATATCTTCAAATAAAAACCAGACAGAATCATTCTCAGAAAATTCTTTGTGATGTGTGCGTTCAACTCACATAGTTTAACCTTTCTTTTCATAGAGCAGTTTGGAAACACTCTGTTTGTAAAGTCTGCAAGTGGATATATGGACCGCATTGAGGCCTTCGTTCGAAACGGGATTTCTTCATTTCATGCTAGACAGAAGAATTCTCAGTAACTTCTTTGTGCTGTGTGTATTCAACTCACAGAGTGGAACGTCCCTTTGCACAGAGCAGATTTGAAACACTCTTTTTGTGGAGTTTGCAAGTGGAGATTTCAAGCGATTTGATGCCAACAGTAGAAAAGGAAATATCTTCAAATAAAAACTAGACAGAATCATTCTCAGAAACTACTTTGTGATGTGTGCCTTCAACTCACAGAGTTTAACCTTTCTTTTCTTAGAGCAGTTTAGAAACACTCTGCTTGTTATGTCTGCAAGTGGATATTTGGACCTCTTTGAGGCCTTCGTTGCAAACGGGGTTTCTTCCTTTCATGCTAGACTAAGAAGAGTTCTCAGTAACTTTTTTGTGTTGTGTGTATTCAACTCACAGAGTTGAACCTTGCTTTAGAGAGAGCAGATTTGAAACACTCTTGCTGTGGCATTTTCAGGTGGAGATTTCAAGCGATTTGAGGACAATTGCAGAAAAGGAAATATCTTCGTATAATAACCAGACAGAATCATTCTCAGAAAGTACTTTGTGATGTGTGCGTTCCACTCACAGAGTTTAACCTTTCTTTTCATAGAGGAGTTTGGAAACACACTGTTTGTAAAGTCTGCAAGTGGATATATGGACCTCTTTGAGGCCTTCGTTGGAAACGGGATTTCTTCATTGAATGCTAGACGGAAGAATTCTCAGTAAATTCTTTGTGTTGTGTGCATTCAACTCACAGAGTGGAACGTCCCTTTAGACAGAGCAGATTTGAAACACTCTTTTTGCGGAATTTGCAAGTGGAGATTTCTAGCCATTTGATGCCAACAGTAGAAAGGGAAATATCTTCAAATAAAAACCAGACAGAATCATTCTCAGAAAATTCTTTGTGATGTGTGCGTTCAACTCACATAGTTTAACCTTTCTTTTCATAGAGCAGTTTGGAAACACTCTGTTTGTAAAGTCTGCAAGTGGATATATGGACCGCATTGAGGCCTTCGTTGGAAACGGGATTTCTTCATTTCATGCTAGACAGAAGAATTCTCAGTAACTTCTTTGTGCTGTGTGTATTCAACTCACAGAGTGGAACGTCCCTTTGCACAGAGCAGATTTGAAACACTCTTTTTGTGGAGTTTGCAAGTGGAGATTTCAAGCGATTTGATGCCAACAGTAGAAAAGGAAATATCTTCAAATAAAAACTAGACAGAATCATTCTCAGAAACTACTTTGTGATGTGTGCCTTCAACTCACAGAGTTTAACCTTTCTTTTCTTAGAGCAGTTTAGAAACACTCTGCTTGTTATGTCTGCAAGTGGATATTTGGACCTCTTTGAGGCCTTCGTTGCAAACGGGGTTTCTTCCTTTCATGCTAGACTAAGAAGAGTTCTCAGTAACTTTTTTGTGTTGTGTGTATTCAACTCACAGAGTTGAACCTTGCTTTAGAGAGAGCAGATTTGAAACACTCTTGCTGTGGCATTTTCAGGTGGAGATTTCAAGCGATTTGAGGACAATTGCAGAAAAGGAAATATCTTCGTATAATAACCAGAGAGAATCATTCTCAGAAAGTGCTTTGTGATGTGTGCGTTCCACTCACAGAGTTTAACCTTTCTTTTCATAGAGGAGTTTGGAAACACACTGTTTGTAAAGTCTGCAAGTGGATATATGGACCTGTTTGAGGCCTTCGTTGGAAACGGGATTTCTTCATTGAATGCTAGACGGAAGAATTCTCAGTAAATTCTTTGTGTTGTGTGCATTCAACTCACAGAGTGGAACGTCCCTTTAGACACAGCAGATTTGAAACACTCTTTTTGCGGAATTTGCAAGTGGAGATTTCTAGCCATTTGATGCCAACAGTAGAAAGGGAAATATCTTCAAATAAAAACCAGACAGAATCATTCTCAGAAAATTCTTTGTGATGTGTGCGTTCAACTCACATAGTTTAACCTTTCTTTTCATAGAGCAGTTTGGAAACACTCTGTTTGTAAAGTCTGCAAGTGGATATATGGACCTGTTTGAGGCCTTCGTTGGAAACGGGATTTCTTCATTGAATGCTAGGCGGAAGAATTCTCAGTAAATTCTTTGTGTTGTGTGCATTCAACTCACAGAGTGGAACGTCCCTTTAGACAGAGCAGATTTGAAACACTCTTTTTGCGGAATTTGCAAGTGGAGATTTCTAGCCATTTGATGCCAACAGTAGAAAGGGAAATATCTTCAAATAAAAACCAGACAGAATCATTCTCAGAAAATTCTTTGTGATGTGTGCGTTCAACTCACATAGTTTAACCTTTCTTTTCATAGAGCAGTTTGGAAACACTCTGTTTGTAAAGTCTGCAAGTGGATATATGGACCGCATTGAGGCCTTCGTTGGAAACGGGATTTCTTCATTTCATGCTAGACAGAAGAATTCTCAGTAACTTCTTTGTGCTGTGTGTATTCAACTCACAGAGTGGAACGTCCCTTTGCACAGAGCAGATTTGAAACACTCTTTTTGTGGAGTTTGCAAGTGGAGATTTCAAGCGATTTGATGCCAACAGTAGAAAAGGAAATATCTTCAAATAAAAACTAGACAGAATCATTCTCAGAAACTACTTTGTGATGTGTGCCTTCAACTCACAGTGTTTAACCTTTCTTTTCTTAGAGCAGTTTAGAAACACTCTGCTTGTTATGTCTGCAAGTGGATATTTGGACCTCTTTGAGGCCTTCGTTGCAAACGGCGTTTCTTCCTTTAATGCTAGACTAAGGAGAGTTCTCAGTAACTTTTTTGTGTTGTGTGTATTCAACTCACAGAGCTGAACCTTGCTTTAGAGAGAGCAGATTTGAAACACTCTTGCTGTGGCATTTTCAGGTGGAGATTTCAAGCGATTTGAGGACAATTGCAGAAAAGGAAATATCTTCGTATAACAACCAGACAGAATCATTCTCAGAAAGTGCTTTGTGATGTGTGCGTTCAACTCACAGAGTTTAACCTTTCTTTTCATAGAGGAGTTTGGAAACACACTGTTTGTAAAGTCTGCAATTGGATATATGGACCTGTTTGAGGCCTTCGTTGGAAACGGGATTTCTTCATTGAATGCTAGACGGAAGAATTCTCAGTAAATTCTTTGTGTGGTGTGCATTCAACTCACAGAGTGGAACGTCCCTTTAGACAGAGCAGATTTGAAACACTCTTTTTGCGGAATTTGCAAGTGGAGATTTCTAGCCATTTGATGCCAACAGTAGAAAGGGAAATATCTTCAAATAAAAACCAGACAGAATCATTCTCAGAAAATTCTTTGTGATGTGTGCGTTCAACTCACATAGTTTAACCTTTCTTTTCATAGAGCAGTTTGGAAACACTCTGTTTGTAAAGTCTGCAAGTGGATATATGGACCGCATTGAGGCCTTCGTTGGAAACGGGATTTCTTCATTTCATGCTAGACAGAAGAATTCTCAATAACTTCTTTGTGCTGTGTGTATTCAACTCACAGAGTGGAACGTCCCTTTACACAGAGCAGATTTGAAACACTCTTTTTGTGGAGTTTGCAAGTGGAGATTTCAAGCGATTTGATGCCAACAGTAGAAAAGGAAATATCTTCAAATAAAAACTAGACAGAATCATTCTCAGAAACTACTTTGTGATGTGTGCCTTCAACTCACAGAGTTTAACCTTTCTTTTCTTAGAGCAGTTTAGAAACACTCTGCTTGTTATGTCTGCAAGTGGATATTTGGACCTCTTTGAGGCCTTCGTTGCAAACGGGGTTTCTTCCTTTCATGCTAGACTAAGAAGAGTTCTCAGTAACTTTTTTGTGTTGTGTGTATTCAACTCACAGAGTTGAACCTTGCTTTAGAGAGAGCAGATTTGAAACACTCTTGCTGTGGCATTTTCAGGTGGAGATTTCAAGCGATTTGAGGACAATTGCAGAAAAGGAAATATCTTCGTATAACAACCAGACAGAATCATTCTCAGAAAGTGCTTTGTGATGTGTGCGTTCAACTCACAGAGTTTAACCTTTCTTTTCATAGAGGAGTTTGGAAACACACTGTTTGTAAAGTCTGCAATTGGATATATGGACCTGTTTGAGGCCTTCGTTGGAAACGGGATTTCTTCATTGAATGCTAGACGGAAGAATTCTCAGTAAATTCTTTGTGTTGTGTGCATTCAACTCACAGAGTGGAACGTCCCTTTAGACAGAGCAGATTTGAAACACTCTTTTTGCGGAATTTGCAAGTGGAGATTTCTAGCCATTTGATGCCAACAGTAGAAAGGGAAATATCTTCAAATAAAAACCAGACAGAATCATTCTCAGAAAATTCTTTGTGATGTGTGCGTTCAACTCACATAGTTTAACCTTTCTTTTCATAGAGCAGTTTGGAAACACTCTGTTTGTAAAGTCTGCAAGTGGATATATGGACCGCATTGAGGCCTTCGTTGGAAACGGGATTTCTTCATTTCATGCTAGACAGAAGAATTCTCAGTAACTTCTTTGTGCTGTGTGTATTCAACTCACAGAGTGGAACGTCCCTTTACACAGAGCAGATTTGAAACACTCTTTTTGTGGAGTTTGCAAGTGGAGATTTCAAGCGATTTGATGCCAACAGTAGAAAAGGAAATATCTTCAAATAAAAACTAGACAGAATCATTCTCAGAAACTACTTTGTGATGTGTGCCTTCAACTCACAGAGTTTAACCTTTCTTTTCTTAGAGCAGTTTAGAAAAACTCTGCTTGTTATGTCTGCAAGTGGATATTTGGACCTCTTTGAGGCCTTCGTTGCAAACGGGGTTTCTTCCTTTAATGCTAGACTAAGAAGAGTTCTCAGTAACTTTTTTGTGTTCTGTGTATTCAACTCACAGAGTTGAACATTGCTTTAGAGAGAGCAGATTTGAAACACTCTTGCTGTGGCATTTTCAGGTGGAGATTTCAAGCGATTTGGGGACAATTGCAGAAAAGGAAATATCTTCGTATAATAACCAGACAGAATCATTCTCAGAAAGTGCTTTGTGATGTGTGCGTTCCACTCACAGAAGTTTAACCTTTCTTTTCATAGAGGAGTTTGGAAACACACTGTTTGTAAAGTCTGCAAGTGGATATATGGACCTCTTTGAGGCCTTCGTTGGAAACGGGATTTCTTCATTGAATGCTAGACGGAAGAATTCTCAGTAAATTCTTTGTGTTGTGTGCATTCAACTCACAGAGTGGAACGTCCCTTTAGACAGAGCAGATTTGAAACACTCTTTTTGCGGAATTTGCAAGTGGAGATTTCTAGCCATTTGATGCCAACAGTAGAAAGGGAAATATCTTCAAATAAAAACCAGACAGAATCATTCTCAGAAAATTCTTTGTGATGTGTGCGTTCAACTCACATAGTTTTACCTTTCTTTTCATAGAGCAGTTTGGAAACACTCTGTTTGTAAAGTCTGCAAGTGGATATATGGACCGCATTGAGGCCTTCGTTGGAAACGGGATTTCTTCATTTCATGCTAGACAGAAGAATTCTCAGTAACTTCTTTGTGCTGTGTGTATTCAACTCACAGAGTGGAACGTCCCTTTACACAGAGCAGATTTGAAACACTCTTTTTGTGGAGTTTGCAAGTGGAGATTTCAAGCGATTTGATGCCAACAGTAGAAAAGGAAATATCTTCAAATAAAAACTAGACAGAATCATTCTCAGAAACTACTTTGTGATGTGTGCCTTCAACTCACAGAGTTTAACCTTTCTTTTCTTAGAGCAGTTTAGAAACACTCTGCTTGTTATGTCTGCAAGTGGATATTTGGACCTCTTTGAGGCCTTCGTTGCAAACGGGGTTTCTTCCTTTCATGCTAGACTAAGAAGAGTTCTCAGTAACTTTTTTGTGTTGTGTGTATTCAACTCACAGAGTTGAACCTTGCTTTAGAGAGAGCAGATTTGAAACACTCTTGCTGTGGCATTTTCAGGTGGAGATTTCAAGCGATTTGAGGACAATTGCAGAAAAGGAAATATCTTCCGTATAATAACCAGACAGAATCATTCTCAGAAAGTGCTTTGTGATGTGTGCGTTCCACTCACAGAGTTTAACCTTTCTTTTCATAGAGGAGTTTGGAAACACACTGTTTGTAAAGTCTGCAAGTGGATATATGGACCTGTTTGAGGCCTTCGTTGGAAACGGGATTTCTTCATTGAATGCTAGACGGAAGAATTCTCAGTAAATTCTTTGTGTTGTGTGCATTCAACTCACAGAGTGGAACGTCCCTTTAGACAGAGCAGATTTGAAACACTCTTTTTGCGGAATTTGCAAGTGGAGATTTCTAGCCATTTGATGCCAACAGTAGAAAGGGAAATATCTTCAAATAAAAACCAGACAGAATCATTCTCAGAAAATTCTTTGTGATGTGTGCGTTCAACTCACATAGTTTAACCTTTCTTTTCATAGAGCAGTTTGGAAACACTCTGTTTGTAAAGTCTGCAAGTGGATATATGGACCGCATTGAGGCCTTCGTTGGAAACGGGATTTCTTCATTTCATGCTAGACAGAAGAATTCTCAGTAACTTCTTTGTGCTGTGTGTATTCAACTCACAGAGTGGAACGTCCCTTTGCACAGAGCAGATTTGAAACACTCTTTTTGTGGAGTTTGCAAGTGGAGATTTCAAGCGATTTGATGCCAACAGTAGAAAAGGAAATATCTTCAAATAAAAACTAGACAGAATCATTCTCAGAAACTACTTTGTGATGTGTGCCTTCAACTCACAGAGTTTAACCTTTCTTTTCTTAGAGCAGTTTAGAAACACTCTGCTTGTTATGTCTGCAAGTGGATATTTGGACCTCTTTGAGGCCTTCGTTGCAAACGGGGTTTCTTCCTTTCATGCTAGACTAAGAAGAGTTCTCAGTAACTTTTTTGTGTTGTGTGTATTCAACTCACAGAGCTGAACCTTGCTTTAGAGAGAGCAGATTTGAAACACTCTTGCTGTGGCATTTTCAGGTGGAGATTTCAAGCGATTTGAGGACAATTGCAGAAAAGGAAATATCTTCGTATAACAACCAGACAGAATCATTCTCAGAAAGTGCTTTGTGATGTGTGCGTTCCACTCACAGAGTTTAACCTTTCTTTTCATAGAGGAGTTTGGAAACACACTGTTTGTAAAGTCTGCAAGTGGATATATGGACCTGTTTGAGGCCTTCGTTGGAAACGGGATTTCTTCATTGAATGCTAGACGGAAGAATTCTCAGTAAATTCTTTGTGTTGTGTGCATTCAACTCACAGAGTGGAACGTCCCTTTAGACAGAGCAGATTTGAAACACTCTTTTTGCGGAATTTGCAAGTGGAGATTTCTAGCCATTTGATGCCAACAGTAGAAAGGGAAATATCTTCAAATAAAAACCAGACAGAATCATTCTCAGAAAATTCTTTGTGATGTGTGCGTTCAACTCACATAGTTTAACCTTTCTTTTCATAGAGCAGTTTGGAAACACTCTGTTTGTAAAGTCTGCAAGTGGATATATGGACCGCATTGAGGCCTTCGTTGGAAACGGGATTTCTTCATTTCATGCTAGACAGAAGAATTCTCAGTAACTTCTTTGTGCTGTGTGTATTCAACTCACAGAGTGGAACGTCCCTTTGCACAGAGCAGATTTGAAACACTCTTTTTGTGGAGTTTGCAAGTGGAGATTTCAAGCGATTTGATGCCAACAGTAGAAAAGGAAATATCTTCAAATAAAAACTAGACAGAATCATTCTCAGAAACTACTTTGTGATGTGTGCCTTCAACTCACAGAGTTTAACCTTTCTTTTCTTAGAGCAGTTTAGAAACACTCTGCTTGTTATGTCTGCAAGTGGATATTTGGACCTCTTTGAGGCCTTCGTTGCAAACGGGGTTTCTTCCTTTCATGCTAGACTCAGAAGAGTTCTCAGTAACTTTTTTGTGTTGTGTGTATTCAACTCACAGAGTTGAACCTTGCTTTAGAGAGAGCAGATTTGAAACACTCTTGCTGTGGCATTTTCAGGTGGAGATTTCAAGCGATTTGAGGACAATTGCAGAAAAGGAAATATCTTCGTATAATAACCAGACAGAATCATTCTCAGAAAGTGCTTTGTGATGTGTGCGTTCAACTCACAGAGTTTAACCTTTCTTTTCATAGAGGAGTTTGGAAACACACTGTTTGTAAAGTCTGCAATTGGATATATGGACCTGTTTGAGGCCTTCGTTGGAAACGGGATTTCTTCATTGAATGCTAGGCAGAAGAATTCTCAGTAAATTCTTTGTGTTGTGTGCATTCAACTCACAGAGTGGAACGTCCCTTTAGACAGAGCAGATTTGAAACACTCTTTTTGCGGAATTTGCAAGTGGAGATTTCTAGCCATTTGATGCCAACAGTTGAAAGGGAAATATCTTCAAATAAAAACCAGAGAGAATCATTCTCAGAAAATTCTTTGTGATGTGTGCGTTCAACTCACATAGTTTAACCTTTCCTTTCATGGAGCAGTTTGGAAACACTCTGTTTGTAAAGTCTGCAAGTGGATATATGGACCGCATTGAGGCCTTCGTTGGAAACGGGATTTCTTCATTTCATGCTAGACAGAAGAATTCTCAGTAACTTCTTTGTGCTGTGTGTATTCAACTCACAGAGTGGAACGTCCCTTTGCACAGAGCGGATTTGAAACACTCTTTTTGTGGAGTTTGCAAGTGAAGATTTCAAGCGATTTGATGCCAACAGTAGAAAAGGAAATATCTTCAAATAAAAACTAGACAGAATCATTCTCAAAAACTACTTTGTGATGTGTGCCTTCAACTCACAGAGTTTAACCTTTCTTTTCTTAGAGCAGTTTAGAAACACTCTGCTTGTTATGTCTGCAAGTGGATATTTGGACCTCTTTGAGGCCTTCGTTGCAAACGGGGTTTCTTCCTTTCATGCTAGACTAAGAAGAGTTCTCAGTAACTTTTTTGTGTTGTGTGTATTCAAATCACAGAGTTGAACCTTGCTTTAGAGAGAGCAGATTTGAAACACTCTTGCTGTGGCATTTTCAGGTGGAGATTTCAAGCGATTTGAGGACAATTGCAGAAAAGGAAATATCTTCGTATAATAACCAGACAGAATCATTCTCAGAAATTGCTTTGTGATGTGTGCGTTCAACTCACAGAGTTTAACCTTTCTTTTCATAGAGGAGTTTGGAAACACACTGTTTGTAAAGTCTGCAATTGGATATATGGACCTGTTTGAGGCCTTCGTTGGAAACGGGATTTCTTCATTGAATGCTAGACGGAAGAATTCTCAGTAAATTCTTTGTGTTGTGTGCATTCAACTCACAGAGTGGAACGTCCCTTTAGACAGAGCAGATTTGAAACACTCTTTTTGCGGAATTTGCAAGTGGAGATTTCTAGCCATTTGATGCCAACAGTAGAAAGGGAAATATCTTCAAATAAAAACCAGACAGAATCATTCTCAGAAAATTCTTTGTGATGTGTGCGTTCAACTCACATAGTTTAACCTTTCTTTTCATAGAGCAGTTTGGAAACACTCTGTTTGTAAAGTCTGCAAGTGGATATATGGACCGCATTGAGGCCTTCGTTGGAAACGGGATTTCTTCATTTCATGCTAGACAGAAGAATTCTCAGTAACTTCTTTGTGCTGTGTGTATTCAACTCACAGAGTGGAACGTCCCTTTACACAGAGCAGATTTGAAACACTCTTTTTGTGGAGTTTGCAAGTGGAGATTTCAAGCGATTTGATGCCAACAGTAGAAAAGGAAATATCTTCAAATAAAAACTAGACAGAATCATTCTCAGAAACTACTTTGTGATGTGTGCCTTCAACTCACAGAGTTTAACCTTTCTTTTCTTAGAGCAGTTTAGAAACACTCTGCTTGTTATGTCTGCAAGTGGATATTTGGACCTCTTTGAGGCCTTCGTTGCAAACGGGGTTTCTTCCTTTCATGCTAGACTAAGAAGAGTTCTCAGTAACTTTTTTGTGTTGTGTGTATTCAACTCACAGAGTTGAACCTTGCTTTAGAGAGAGCAGATTTGAAACACTCTTGCTGTGGCATTTTCAGGTGGAGATTTCAAGCGATTTGAGGACAATTGCAGAAAAGGAAATATCTTCGTATAATAACCAGACAGAATCATTCTCAGAAAGTGCTTTGTGATGTGTGCGTTCAACTCACATAGTTTAACCTTTCTTTTCATAGAGGAGTTTGGAAACACACTGTTTGTAAAGTCTGCAAGTGGATATATGGACCTGTTTGAGGCCTTCGTTGGAAACGGGATTTCTTCATTGAATGCTAGACGGAAGAATTCTCAGTAAATTCTTTGTGTTGTGTGCATTCAACTCACAGAGTGGAACGTCCCTTTAGACAGAGCAGATTTGAAACACTCTTTTTGCGGAATTTGCAAGTGGAGATTTCTAGCCATTTGATGCCAACAGTAGAAAGGGAAATATCTTCAAATAAAAACCAGACAGAATCATTCTCAGAAAATTCTTTGTGATGTGTGCGTTCAACTCACATAGTTTAACCTTTCTTTTCATAGAGCAGTTTGGAAACACTCTGTTTGTAAAGTCTGCAAGTGGATATATGGACCGCATTGAGGCCTTCGTTGGAAACGGGATTTCTTCATTTCATGCTAGACAGAAGAATTCTCAGTAACTTCTTTGTGCTGTGTGTATTCAACTCACAGAGTGGAACGTCCCTTTGCACAGAGCAGATTTGAAACACTCTTTTTGTGGAGTTTGCAAGTGGAGATTTCAAGCGATTTGATGCCAACAGTAGAAAAGGAAATATCTTCAAATAAAAACTAGACAGAATCATTCTCAGAAACTACTTTGTGATGTGTGCCTTCAACTCACAGAGTTTAACCTTTCTTTTCTTAGAGCAGTTTAGAAACACTCTGCTTGTTATGACTGCAAGTGGATATTTGGACCTCTTTGAGGCCTTCGTTGCAAACGGGGTTTCTTCCTTTCATGCTAGACTAAGAAGAGTTCTCAGTAACTTTTTTGTGTTGTGTGTATTCAACTCACAGAGTTGAACCTTGCTTTAGAGAGAGCAGATTTGAAACACTCTTGCTGTGGCATTTTCCGGTGGAGATTTCAAGCGATTTGAGGACAATTGCAGAAAAGGAAATATCTTCGTATAATAACCAGACAGAATCATTCTCAGAAAGTGCTTTGTGATGTGTGCGTTCAACTCACAGAGTTTAACCTTTCTTTTCATAGAGGAGTTTGGAAACACACTGTTTGTAAAGTCTGCAATTGGATATATGGACCTGTTTGAGGCCTTCGTTGGAAACGGGATTTCTTCATTGAATGCTAGACGGAAGAATTCTCAGTAAATTCTTTGTGTTATGTGCATTCAACTCACAGAGTGGAACGTCCCTTTAGACAGAGCAGATTTGAAACACTCTTTTTGCGGAATTTGCAAGTGGAGATTTCTAGCCATTTGATGCCAACAGTAGAAAGGGAAATATCTTCAAATAAAAACCAGACAGAATCATTCTCAGAAAATTCTTTGTGATGTGTGCGTTCAACTCACATAGTTTAACCTTTCTTTTCATAGAGCAGTTTGGAAACACTCTGTTTGTAAACTCTGCAAGTGGATATATGGACCGCATTGAGGCCTTCGTTGGAAACGGGATTTCTTCATTTCATGCTAGACAGAAGAATTCTCAGTAACTTCTTTGTGCTGTGTGTATTCAACTCACAGAGTGGAACGTCCCTTTGCACAGAGCAGATTTGAAACACTCTTTTTGTGGAGTTTGCAAGTGGAGATTTCAAGCGATTTGATGCCAACAGTAGAAAAGGAAATATCTTCAAATAAAAACTAGACAGAATCATTCTCAGAAACTACTTTGTGATGTGTGCCTTTAACTCACAGAGTTTAACCTTTCTTTTCTTAGAGCAGTTTAGAAACACTCTGCTTGTTATGTCTGCAAGTGGATATTTGGACCTCTTTGAGGCCTTCGTTGCAAACGGGGTTTCTTCCTTTAATGCTAGACTAAGAAGAGTTCTCAGTAACTTTTTTGTGTTGTGTGTATTCAACTCACAGAGTTGAACCTTGCTTTAGAGAGAGCAGATTTGAAACACTCTCGCTGTGGAATTTTCAGGTGGAGATTTCAAGCGATTTGAGGACAATTGCAGAAAAGGAAATATCTTCGTATAATTACCAGACAGAATCATTCTCAGAAAGTGCTTTGGGTTGTGTGCGTTCAACTCACAGAGTTTAACCTTTCTTTTCATAGAGGAGTTTGGAAACACACTGTTTGTAAAGTCTGCAATTGGATATATGGACCTGTTTGAGGCCTCCGTTGGAAACGGGATTTCTTCATTGAATGCTAGACGGAAGAATTCTCAGTAAATTCTTTGTGTTGTGTGCATTGAACTCACAGAGTGGAACGTCCCTTTAGACAGAGCAGATTTGAAACACTCTTTTTGCGGAATTTGCAAGTGGAGATTTCTAGCCATTTGATGCCAACAGTAGAAAGGGAAATATCTTCAAATAAAAACCAGACAGAATCATTCTCAGAAAATTCTTTGTGATGTGTGCGTTCAACTCACATAGTTTAACCTTTCTTTTCATAGAGCAGTTTGGAAACACTCTGTTTGTAAAGTCTGCAAGTGGATATATGGACCGCATTGAGGCCTTCGTTGGAAACGGGATTTCTTCATTTCATGCTAGACAGAAGAATTCTCAGTAACTTCTTTGTGCTGTGTGTATTCAACTCACAGAGTGGAACGTCCCTTTGCACAGAGCAGATTTGAAACACTCTTTTTGTGGAGTTTGCAATTGGAGATTTCAAGCGATTTGATGCCAACAGTAGAAAAGGAAATATCTTCAAATAAAAACTAGACAGGAATCATTCTCAGAAACTACTTTGTGATGTGTGCCTTCAACTCACAGAGTTTAACCTTTCTTTTCTTAGAGCAGCTTAGAAACACTCTGCTTGTTATGTCTGCAAGTGGATATTTGGACCTCTTTGAGGCCTTCGTTGCAAACGGGGTTTCTTCCTTTAATGCTAGACTAAGAAGAGTTCTCAGTAACTTTTTTGTGTTGTGTGTATTCAACTCACAGAGTTGAACCTTGCTTTAGAGAGAGCAGATTTGAAACACTCTTGCTGTGGCATTTTCAGGTGGAGATTTCAAGCGATTTGAGGACAATTGCAGAAAAGGAAATATCTTCGTATAATAACCAGACAGAATCATTCTCAGAAAGTGCTTTGTGATGTGTGCGTTCAACTCACAGAGTTTAACCTTTCTTTTCATAGAGGAGTTTGGAAACACACTGTTTGTAAAGTCTGCAATTGGATATATGGACCTGTTTGAGGCCTTCGTTGGAAACGGGATTTCTTCATTGAATGCTAGACGGAAGAATTCTCAGTAAATTCTTTGTGTTGTGTGCATTCAACTGACAGAGTGGAACGTCCCTTTAGACAGAGCAGATTTGAAACACTCTTTTTGCGGAATTTGCAAGTGGAGATTTCTAGCCATTTGATGCCAACAGTAGAAAGGGAAATATCTTCAAATAAAAACCAGACAGAATCATTCTCAGAAAATTCTTTGTGATGTGTGCGTTCAACTCACATAGTTTAACCTTTCTTTTCATAGAGCAGTTTGGAAACACTCTGTTTGTAAAGTCTGCAAGTGGATATATGGACCGCATTGAGGCCTTCGTTGGAAACGGGATTTCTTCATTTCATGCTAGACAGAAGAATTCTCAGTAACTTCTTTGTGCTGTGTGTATTCAACTCACAGAGTGGAACGTCCCTTTGCACAGAGCAGATTTGAAACACTCTTTTTGTGGAATTTGCAAGTGGAGATTTCAAGCGATTTGATGCCAACAGTAGAAAAGGAAATATCTTCAAATAAAAACTAGACAGAATCATTCTCAGAAACTACTTTGTGATGTGTGCCTTCAACTCACAGAGTTTAACCTTTCTTTTCTTAGAGCAGTTTAGAAACACTCTGCTTGTTATGTCTGCAAGTGGATATTTGGACCTCTTTGAGGCCTTCATTGCAAACGGGGTTTCTTCCTTTAATGCTAGACTAAGAAGAGTTCTCAGTAACTTTTTTGTGTTGTGTGTATTCAACTCACAGAGTTGAACCTTGCTTTAGAGAGAGCAGATTTGAAGCACTCTTGCTGTGGCATTTTCAGGTGGAGATTTCAAGCGATTTGAGGACAATTGCAGAAAAGGAAATATCTTCGTATAATAACCAGACAGAATCATTCTCAGAAAGTGCTTTGTGATGTGTGCGTTCAACTCACAGAGTTTAACCTTTCTTTTCATAGAGGAGTTTGGAAACACACTGTTTGTAAAGTCTGCAATTGGATATATGGACCTGTTTGAGGCCTTCGTTGGAAACGGGATTTCTTCATTGAATGCTAGACGGAAGAATTCTCAGTAAATTCTTTGTGTTGTGTGCATTCAACTCACAGAGTGGAACGTCCCTTTAGACAGAGCAGATTTGAAACACTCTTTTTGCGGAATTTGCAAGTGGAGATTTCTAGCCATTTGATGCCAACAGTAGAAAGGGAAATATCTTCAAATAAAAACCAGACAGAATCATTCTCAGAAAATTCTTTGTGATGTGTGCGTTCAACTCACATAGTTTAACCTTTCTTTTCATAGAGCAGTTTGGAAACACTCTGTTTGTAAAGTCTGCAAGTGGATATATGGACCGCATTGAGGCCTTCGTTGGAAACGGGATTTCTTCATTTCATGCTAGACAGAAGAATTCTCAGTAACTTCTTTGTGCTGTGTGTATTCAACTCACAGAGTGGAACGTCCCTTTGCACAGAGCAGATTTGAAACACTCTTTTTGTGGAGTTTGCAAGTGGAGATTTCAAGCGATTTGATGCCAACAGTAGAAAAGGAAATATCTTCAAATAAAAACTAGACAGAATCATTCTCAGAAACTACTTTGTGATGTGTGCCTTCAACTCACAGAGTTTAACCTTTCTTTTCTTACAGCAGTTTAGAAACACTCTGCTTGTTATGTCTGCAAGTGGATATTTGGACCTCTTTGAGGCCTTCGTTGCAAACGGGGTTTCTTCCTTTCATGCTAGACTAAGAAGAGTTCTCAGTAACTTTTTTGTGTTGTGTGTATTCAACTCACAGAGTTGAACCTTGCTTTAGAGAGAGCAGATTTGAAACACTCTTGCTGTGGCATTTTCAGGTGGAGATTTCAAGCGATTTGAGGACAATTGCAGAAAAGGAAATATCTTCTTATAATAACCAGACAGAATCATTCTCAGAAAGTGCTTTGTGATGTGTGCGTTCAACTCACAGAGTTTAACCTTTCTTTTCGTAGAGGAGTTTGGAAACACACTGTTTGTAAAGTCTGCAATTGGATATATGGACCTGTTTGAGGCCTTCGTTGGAAACGGGATTTCTTCATTGAATGCTAGACGGAAGAATTCTCAGTAAATTCTTTGTGTTGTGTGCATTCAACTCACAGAGTGGAACGTCCCTTTAGACAGAGCAGATTTGAAACACTCTTTTTGCGGAATTTGCAAGTGGAGATTTCTAGCCATTTGATGCCAACAGTAGAAAGGGAAATATCTTCAAATAAAAACCAGACAGAATCATTCTCAGAAAATTCTTTGTGATGTGTGCGTTCAACTCACATAGTTTAACCTTTCTTTTCATAGAGCAGTTTGGAAACACTCTGTTTGTAAAGTCTGCAAGTGGATATATGGACCGCATTGAGGCCTTCGTTGGAAACGGGATTTCTTCATTTCATGCTAGACAGAAGAATTCTCAGTAACTTCTTTGTGCTGTGTGTATTCAACTCACAGAGTGGAACGTCCCTTTGCACAGAGCAGATTTGAAACACTCTTTTTGTGCAGTTTGCAAGTGGAGATTTCAAGCGATTTGATGCCAACAGTAGAAAAGGAAATATCTTCAAATAAAAACTAGACAGAATCATTCTCAGAAACTACTTTGTGATGTGTGCCTTCAACTCACAGAGTTTAACCTTTCTTTTCTTAGAGCAGTTTAGAAACACTCTGCTTGTTATGTCTGCAAGTGGATATTTGGACCTCTTTGAGGCCTTCGTTGCAAACGGGGTTTCTTCCTTTCATGCTAGACTAAGAAGAGTTCTCAGTAACTTTTTTGTGTTGTGTGTATTCAACTCACAGAGTTGAACCTTGCTTTAGAGAGAACAGATTTGAAACACTCTTGCTGTGGCATTTTCAGGTGGAGATTTCAAGCGATTTGAGGACAATTGCAGAAAAGGAAATATCTTCGTATAATAACCAGACAGAATCATTCTCAGAAAGTGCTTTGTGATGTGTGCGTTCCACTCACAGAGTTTAACCTTTCTTTTCATAGAGGAGTTTGGAAACACACTGTTTGTAAACTCTGCAAGTGGATATATGGACCTGTTTGAGGCCTTCGTTGGAAACGGGATTTCTTCATTGAATGCTAGACGGAAGAATTCTCAGTAAATTCTTTGTGTTGTGTGCATTCAACTGACAGAGTGGAACGTCCCTTTAGACAGAGCAGATTTGAAACACTCTTTTTGCGGAATTTGCAAGTGGAGATTTCTAGCCATTTGATGCCAACAGTAGAAAGGGAAATATCTTCAAATAAAAACCAGACAGAATCATTCTCAGAAAATTCTTTGTGATGTGTGCGTTCAACTCACATAGTTTAACCTTTCTTTTCATAGAGCAGTTTGGAAACACTCTGTTTGTAAAGTCTGCAAGTGGATATATGGACCGCATTGAGGCCTTCGTTGGAAACGGGATTTCTTCATTTCATGCTAGACAGAAGAATTCTCAGTAACTTCTTTGTGCTGTGTGTATTCAACTCACAGAGTGGAACGTCCCTTTACACAGAGCAGATTTGAAACACTCTTTTTGTGGAATTTGCAAGTGGAGATTTCAAGCGATTTGATGCCAACAGTAGAAAAGGAAATATCTTCAAATAAAAACTAGACAGAATCATTCTCAGAAACTACTTTGTGATGTGTGCCTTCAACTCACAGAGTTTAACCTTTCTTTTCTTAGAGCAGTTTAGAAACACTCTGCTTGTTATGTCTGCAAGTGGATATTTGGACCTCTTTGAGGCCTTCGTTGCAAACGGGGTTTCTTCCTTTCATGCTAGACTAAGAAGCGTTCTCAGTAACTTTTTTGTGTTGTGTGTATTCAACTCACAGAGTTGAACCTTGCTTTAGAGAGAGCAGATTTGAAACACTCTTGCTGTGGCATTTTCAGGTGGAGATTTCAAGCGATTTGAGGACAATTGCAGAAAAGGAAATATCTTCGTATAATAACCAGACAGAATCATTCTCAGAAAGTGCTTTGTGATGTGTGCGTTCCACTCACAGAGTTTAACCTTTCTTTTCATAGAGGAGTTTGGAAACACACTGTTTGTAAACTCTGCAAGTGGATATATGGACCTGTTTGAGGCCTTCGTTGGAAACGGGATTTCTTCATTGAATGCTAGACGGAAGAATTCTCAGTAAATTCTTTGTGTTGTGTGCATTCAACTCACAGAGTGGAACGTCCCTTTAGACAGAGCAGATTTGAAACACTCTTTTTGCGGAATTTGCAAGTGGAGATTTCTAGCCATTTGATGCCAACAGTAGAAAGGGAAATATCTTCAAATAAAAACCAGACAGAATCATTCTCAGAAAATTCTTTGTGATGTGTGCGTTCAACTCACATAGTTTAACCTTTCTTTTCATAGAGCAGTTTGGAAACACTCTGTTTGTAAAGTCTGCAAGTGGATATATGGACCGCATTGAGGCCTTCGTTGGAAACGGGATTTCTTCATTTCATGCTAGACAGAAGAATTCTCAGTAACTTCTTTGTGCTGTGTGTATTCAACTCACAGAGTGGAACGTCCCTTTGCACAGAGCAGATTTGAAACACTCTTTTTGTGGAATTTGCAAGTGGAGATTTCAAGCGATTTGATGCCAACAGTAGAAAAGGAAATATCTTCAAATAAAAACTAGACAGAATCATTCTCAGAAACTACTTTGTGATGTGTGCCTTCAACTCACAGGAGTTTAACCTTTCTTTTCTTAGAGCAGTTTAGAAACACTCTGCTTGTTATGTCTGCAAGTGGATATTTGGACCTCTTTGAGGCCTTCGTTGCAAACGGCGTTTCTTCCTTTCATGCTAGACTAAGAAGAGTTCTCAGTAACTTTTTTGTGTTGTGTGTATTCAACTCACAGAGTTGAACCTTGCTTTAGAGAGAGCAGATTTGAAACACTCTTGCTGTGGCATTTTCAGGTGGAGATTTCAAGCGATTTGAGGACAATTGCAGAAAAGGAAATATCTTCGTATAATAACCAGACAGAATCATTCTCAGAAAGTGCTTTGTGATGTGTGCGTTCAACTCACAGAGTTTAACCTTTCTTTTCATAGAGGAGTTTGGAAACACACTGTTTGTAAAGTCTGCAATTGGATATATGGACCTGTTTGAGGCCTCCGTTGGAAACGGGATTTCTTCATTGAATGCTAGACGGAAGAATTCTCAGTAAATTCTTTGTGTTGTGTGCATTCAACTCAGAGAGTGGAACGTCCCTTTAGACAGAGCAGATTTGAAACACTCTTTTTGCGGAATTTGCAAGTGGAGATTTCTAGCCATTTGATGCCAACAGTAGAAAGGGAAATATCTTCAAATAAAAACCAGACAGAATCATTCTCAGAAAATTCTTTGTGATGTGTGCGTTCAACTCACATAGTTTAACCTTTCTTTTCATAGAGCAGTTTGGAAACACTCTGTTTGTAAAGTCTGCAAGTGGATATATGGACCGCATTGAGGCCTTCGTTGGAAACGGGATTTCTTCATTTCATGCTAGACAGAAGAATTCTCAGTAACTTCTTTGTGCTGTGTGTATTCAACTCACAGAGTGGAACGTCCCTTTGCACAGAGCAGATTTGAAACACTCTTTTTGTGGAGTTTGCAAGTGGAGATTTCAAGCGATTTGATGCCAACAGTAGAAAAGGAAATATCTTCAAATAAAAACTAGACAGAATCATTCTCAGAAACTACTTTGTGATGTGTGCCTTCAACTCACAGAGTTTAACCTTTCTTTTCTTAGAGCACTTTAGAAACACTCTGCTTGTTATGTCTGCAAGTGGATATTTGGACCTCTTTGAGGCCTTCGTTGCAAACGGGGTTTCTTCCTTTCATGCTAGACTAAGAAGAGTTCTCAGTAACTTTTTTGTGTTGTGTGTATTCAACTCACAGAGTTGAACCTTGCTTTAGAGAGAGCAGATTTGAAACACTCTTGCTGTGGCATTTTCAGGTGGAGATTTCAAGCGATTTGAGGACAATTGCAGAAAAGGAAATATCTTCGTATAACAACCAGACAGAATCATTCTCAGAAAGTGCTTTGTGATGTGTGCGTTCAACTCACAGAGTTTAACCTTTCTTTTCATAGAGGAGTTTGGAAACACACTGTTTGTAAAGTCTGCAAGTGGATATATGGACCTGTTTGAGGCCTTCGTTGGAAACGGGATTTCTTCATTGAATGCTAGACGGAAGAATTCTCAGTAAATTCTTTGTGTTGTGTGCATTCAACTCACAGAGTGGAACGTCCCTTTAGACAGAGCAGATTTGAAACACTCTTTTTGCGGAATTTGCAAGTGGAGATTTCTAGCCATTTGATGCCAACAGTAGAAAGGGAAATATCTTCAAATAAAAACCAGACAGAATCATTCTCAGAAAATTCTTTGTGATGTGTGTGTTCAACTCACATAGTTTAACCTTTCTTTTCATAGAGCAGTTTGGAAACACTCTGTTTGTAAAGTCTGCAAGTGGATATATGGACCGCATTGAGGCCTTCGTTGGAAACGGGATTTCTTCATTTCATGCTAGACAGAAGAATTCTCAGTAACTTCTTTGTGCTGTGTGTATTCAACTCACAGAGTGGAACGTCCCTTTACACAGAGCAGATTTGAAACACTCTTTTTGTGGAGTTTGCAAGTGGAGATTTCAAGCGATTTGATGCCAACAGTAGAAAAGGAAATATCTTCAAATAAAAACTAGACAGAATCATTCTCAGAAACTACTTTGTGATGTGTGCCTTCAACTCAGAGTTTAACCTTTCGTTTCTTAGAGCAGTTTAGAAACACTCTGCTTGTTATGTCTGCAAGTGGATATTTGGACCTCTTTGAGGCCTTCGTTGCAAACGGGGTTTCTTCCTTTAATGCTAGACTAAGAAGAGTTCTCAGTAACTTTTTTGTGTTGTGTGTATTCAACTCACAGAGTTGAACCTTGCTTTAGAGAGAGCAGATTTGAAACACTCTTGCTGTGGCATTTTCAGGTGGAGATTTCAAGCGATTTGAGGACAATTGCAGAAAAGGAAATATCTTCGTATAATAACCAGACAGAATCATTCTCAGGAAGTGCTTTGTGATGTGTGCGTTCAACTCACAGAGTTTAACCTTTCTTTTCATAGAGGAGTTTGGAAACACACTGTTTGTAAAGTCTGCAAGTGGATATATGGACCTGTTTGAGGCCTTCGTTGGAAACGGGATTTCTTCATTGAATGCTAGACGGAAGAATTCTCAGTAAATTCTTTGTGTTGTGTGCATTCAACTCACAGAGTGGAACGTCCCTTTAGACAGAGCAGATTTGAAACACTCTTTTTGCGGAATTTGCAAGTGGAGATTTCTAGCCATTTGATGCCAAGAGTAGAAAGGGAAATATCTTCAAATAAAAACCAGACAGAATCATTCTCAGAAAATTCTTTGTGATGTGTGCGTTCAACTCACATAGTTTAACCTTTCTTTTCATAGAGCAGTTTGGAAACACTCTGTTTGTAAAGTCTGCAAGTGGATATATGGACCGCATTGAGGCCTTCGTTGGAAACGGGATTTCTTCATTTCATGCTAGACAGAAGAATTCTCAGTAACTCCTTTGTGCTGTGTGTATTCAACTCACAGAGTGGAACGTCCCTTTGCACAGAGCAGATTTGAAACACTCTTTTTGTGGAATTTGCAAGTGGAAATTTCAAGCGATTTGATGCCAACAGTAGAAAAGGAAATATCTTCAAATAAAAACTAGACAGAGAATCATTTAGAAACTACTTTGTGATGTGTGCCTTCAACTCACAGAGTTTAACCTTTCTTTTCTTAGAGCAGTTTAGAAACACTCTGCTTGTTATGTCTGCAAGTGGATATTTGGACCTCTTTGAGGCCTTCGTTGCAAACGGGGTTTCTTCCTTTAATGCTAGACTAAGAAGAGTTCTCAGCAACTTTTTTGTGTTGTGTGTATTCAACTCACAGAGTTGAACCTTGCTTTAGAGAGAGCAGATTTGAAACACTCTTGCTGTGGAATTTTCAGGTGGAGATTTCAAGCGATTTGAGGACAATTGCAGAAAAGGAAATATACTTCGTATAATAACCAGACAGAAATCATTCTCAGAAAGTGCTTTGTGATGTGTGCGTTCCACTCACAGAGTTTAACCTTTCTTTTCATAGAGGAGTTTGGAAACACACTGTTTGTAAACTCTGCAAGTGGATATATGGACCTGTTTGAGGCCTTCGTTGGAAACGGGATTTCTTCATTGAATGCTAGACGGAAGAATTCTCAGTAAATTCTTTGTGTTGTGTGCATTCAACTCACAGAGTGGAACGTCCCTTTAGACAGAGCAGATTT
This sequence comes from Homo sapiens, assembly GCF_000001405.40. NCBI lineage: Eukaryota > Metazoa > Chordata > Mammalia > Primates > Hominidae > Homo > Homo sapiens. The sequence goes on from NC_000007.14 coordinate 58,719,190, forward strand.
GAAACACTCTTTTTGCGGAATTTGCAAGTGGAGATTTCTAGCCATTTGATGCCAACAGTAGAAAGGGAAATATCTTCAAATAAAAACCAGACAGAATCATTCTCAGAAAATTCTTTGTGATGTGTGCGTTCAACTCACATAGTTTAACCTTTCTTTTCATAGAGCAGTTTGGAAACACTCTGTTTGTAAAGTCTGCAAGTGGATATATGGACCGCATTGAGGCCTTCGTTGGAAACGGGATTTCTTCATTTCATGCTAGACAGAAGAATTCTCAGTAACTTCTTTGTGCTGTGTGTATTCAACTCACAGAGTGGAACGTCCCTTTACACAGAGCAGATTTGAAACACTCTTTTTGTGGAATTTGCAAGTGGAGATTTCAAGCGATTTGATGCCAACAGTAGAAAAGGAAATATCTTCAAATAAAAACTAGACAGAATCATTCTCAGAAACTACTTTGTGATGTGTGCCTTCAACTCACAGAGTTTAACCTTTCTTTTCTTAGAGCAGTTTAGAAACACTCTGCTTGTTATGTCTGCAAGTGGATATTTGGACCTCTTTGAGGCCTTCGTTGCAAACGGGGTTTCTTCCTTTCATGCTAGACTAAGAAGAGTTCTCAGTAACTTTTCTGTGTTGTGTATATTCAACTCACAGAGTTGAACCTTGCTTTAGAGAGAGCAGATTTGAAACACTCTTGCTGTGGCATTTTCAGGTGGAGATTTCAAGCGTTTTGAGGACAATTGCAGAAAAGGAAATATCTTCGTATAATAACCAGACAGAATCATTCTCAGAAAGTGCTTTGTGATGTGTGCGTTCCACTCACAGAGTTTAACCTTTCTTTTCATAGAGGAGTTTGGAAACACACTGTTTGTAAACTCTGCAAGTGGATATATGGACCTGTTTGAGGCCTTCGTTGGAAACGGGATTTCTTCATTGAATGCTAGACGGAAGAATTCTCAGTAAATTCTTTGTGTTGTGTGCATTCAACTCACAGAGTGGAACGTCCCTTTAGACAGAGCAGATTTGAAACACTCTTTTTGCGGAATTTGCAAGTGGAGATTTCTAGCCATTTGATGCCAACAGTAGAAAGGGAAATATCTTCAAATAAAAACCAGACAGAATCATTCTCAGAAAATTCTTTGTGATGTGTGCGTTCAACTCACATAGTTTAACCTTTCTTTTCATAGAGCAGTTTGGAAACACTCTGTTTGTAAAGTCTGCAAGTGGATATATGGACCGCATTGAGGCCTTCGTTGGAAACGGGATTTCTTCATTTCATGCTAGACAGAAGAATTCTCAGTAACTTCTTTGTGCTGTGTGTATTCAACTCACAGAGTGGAACGTCCCTTTACACAGAGCAGATTTGAAACACTCTTTTTGTGGAGTTTGCAAGTGGAGATTTCAAGCGATTTGATGCCAACAGTAGAAAAGGAAATATCTTCAAATAAAAACTAGACAGAATCATTCTCAGAAACTACTTTGTGATGTGTGCCTTCAACTCACAGAGTTTAACCTTTCTTTTCTTAGAGCAGTTTAGAAACACTCTGCTTGTTATGTCTGCAAGTGGATATTTGGACCTCTTTGAGGCCTTCGTTGCAAACGGGGTTTCTTCCTTTCATGCTAGACTAAGAAGAGTTCTCAGTAACTTTTTTGTGTTGTGTGTATTCAACTCACAGAGTTGAACCTTGCTTTAGAGAGAGCAGATTTGAAACACTCTTGCTGTGGCATTTTCAGGTGGAGATTTCAAGCGATTTGAGGACAATTGCAGAAAAGGAAATATCTTCGTATAATAACCAGACAGAATCATTCTCAGAAAGTGCTTTGTGATGTGTGCGTTCAACTCACAGAGTTTAAGCTTTCTTTTCATAGAGGAGTTTGGAAACACACTGTTTGTAAAGTCTGCAAGTGGATATATGGACCTGTTCGAGGCCTTCGTTGGAAACGGGATTTCTTCATTGAATGCTAGACGGAAGAATTCTCAGTAAATTCTTTGTGTTGTGTGCATTCAACTCACAGAGTGGAACGTCCCTTTAGACAGAGCAGATTTGAAACACTCTTTTTGCGGAATTTGCAAGTGGAGATTTCTAGCCATTTGATGCCAACAGTAGAAAGGGAAACATCTTCAAATAAAAACCAGACAGAATCATTCTCAGAAAGTGCTTTGTGATGTGTGCGTTCCACTCACAGAGTTTAACCTTTCTTTTCATAGAGGAGTTTGGAAACACACTGTTTGTAAACTCTGCAAGTGGATATATGGACCGCATTGAGGCCTTCGTTGGAAACGGGATTTCTTCATTTCATGCTAGACAGAAGAATTCTCAGTAACTTCTTTGTGCTGTGTGTATTCAACTCACAGAGTGGAACGTCCCTTTGCACAGAGCAGATTTGAAACACTCTTTTTGTGGAGTTTGCAAGTGGAGATTTCAAGCGATTTGATGCCAACAGTAGAAAAGGAAATATCTTCAAATAAAAACTAGACAGAATCATTCTCAGAAACTACTTTGCGATGTGTGCCTTCAAGTCACAGAGTTTAACCTTTCTTTTCTTAGAGCAGCTTAGAAACACTCTGCTTGTTATGTCTGCAAGTTGATATTTGGACCTCTTTGACGCCTTCGTTGCAAACGGGGTTTCTTCCTTTAATGCTAGACTAAGAAGAGTTCTCAGTAACTTATTTGTGTTGTGTGTATTCAACTCACAGAATTGAACCTTGCTTTAGAGAGAGCAGATTTGAATCACTCTTGCTGTGGAATTTTCAGGTGGAGATTTCAAGCGATTTGAGGACAATTGCAGAAAAGGAAATATCTTCGTATAAAAACCAGACAGAATCATTCTCAGAAAGTGCTTTGTGATGTGTGCGTTCAACTCACAGAGTTTAACCTTTCTTTTCATAGAGGAGTTTGGAAACACACTGTTTGTAAAGTCTGCAATTGGATATATGGACCTGTTTGAGGCCTTCGTTGGAAACGGGATTTCTTCATTGAATGCTAGACGGAAGAATTCTCAGTAAATTCTTTGTGTTGTGTGCATTCAACTCACAGAGTGGAACGTCCCTTTAGACAGAGCAGATTTGAAACACTCTTTTTGCGGAATTTGCAAGTGGAGATTTCTAGCCATTTGATGCCAACAGTAGAAAGGGAAATATCTTCAAATAAAAACCAGACAGAATCATTCTCAGAAAATTCTTTGTGATGTGTGCGTTCAACTCACATAGTTTAACCTTTCTTTTCATAGAGCAGTTTGGAAACACTCTGTTTGTAAAGTCTGCAAGTGGATATATGGACCTCTTTGAGGCCTTCGTTGGAAACGGGATTTCTTCATTGAATGCTAGACGGAAGAATTCTCAGTAAATTCTTTGTGTTGTGTGCATTCAACTCACAGAGTGGAACGTCCCTTTAGACAGAGCAGATTTGAAACACTCTTTTTGCGGAATTTGCAAGTGGAGATTTCTAGCCATTTGATGCCAACAGTAGAAAGGGAAATATCTTCAAATAAAAACCAGACAGAATCATTCTCAGAAAATTCTTTGTGATGTGTGCGTTCAACTCACATAGTTTAACCTTTCTTTTCATAGAGCAGTTTGGAAACACTCTGTTTGTAAAGTCTGCAAGTGGATATATGGACCGCATTGAGGCCTTCGTTGGAAACGGGATTTCTTCATTTCATGCTAGACAGAAGAATTCTCAGTAACTACTTTGTGTTGTGTGTATTCAACTCACAGATTGGAACGTCCCTTTACACAGAGCAGATTTGAAACACTCTTTTTGTGGAGTTTGCAAGTGGAGATTTCAAGCGATTTGATGCCAACAGTAGAAAAGGAAATATCTGCAAACAAAAACTAGACAGAATCATTCTCAGAAACTACTTTGTGATGTGTGCCTTCAACTCACAGAGTTTAACCTTTCTTTTCTTAGAGCAGTTTAGAAACACTCTGCTTGTTATGTCTGCAAGTGGATATTTGGACCTCTTTGAGGCCTTCGTTGCAAACGGGGTTTCTTCCTTTCATGCTAGACTAAGAAGAGTTCTCAGTAACTTTTCTGTGTTGTGTGTATTCAAATCACAGAGTTGAACCTTGCTTTAGAGAGAGCAGATTTGAAACACTCTTGCTGTGGCATTTTCAGGTGGAGATTTCAAGCGATTTGAGGACAATTGCAGAAAAGGAAATATCTTCGTATAATAACCAGACAGAATCATTCTCAGAAAGTGCTTTGTGATGTGTGCGTTCCACTCACAGAGTTTAACCTTTCTTTTCATAGAGGAGTTTGGAAACACACTGTTTGTAAACTCTGCAAGTGGATATATGGACCTCTTTGAGGCCTTCGTTGGAAACGGGATTTCTTCATTGAATGCTAGACGGAAGAATTCTCAGTAAATTCTTTGTGTTGTGTGCATTCAACTCACAGAGTGGAACGTCCCTTTAGACAGAGCAGATTTGAAACACTCTTTTTGCGGAATTTGCAAGTGGAGATTTCTAGCCGTTTGATGCCAACAGTAGAAAGGGAAATATCTTCAAATAAAAACCAGACAGAATCATTCTCAGAAAATTCTTTGTGATGTGTGCGTTCAACTCACATAGTTTAACCTTTCTTTTCATAGAGCAGTTTGGAAACACTCTGTTTGTAAAGTCTGCAAGTGGATATATGGACCGCATTGAGGCCTTCGTTGGAAACGGGATTTCTTCATTTCATGCTAGACAGAAGAATTCTCAGTAACTTCTTTGTGCTGTGTGTATTCAACTCACAGAGTGGAACGTCCCTTTGCACAGAGCAGATTTGAAACACTCTTTTTGTGGAGTTTGCAATTGGAGATTTCAAGCGATTTGATGCCAACAGTAGAAAAGGAAATATCTTCAAATAAAAACTAGACAGGAATCATTCTCAGAAACTACTTTGTGATGTGTGCCTTCAACTCACAGAGTTTAACCTTTCTTTTCTTAGAGCAGTTTAGAAACACTCTGCTTGTTATGTCTGCAAGTGGATATTTGGACCTCTTTGAGGCCTTCGTTGCAAACGGGGTTTCTTCCTTTCATGCTAGACTAAGAAGAGTTCTCAGTAACTTTTTTGTGTTGTGTGTATTCAACTCACAGAGTTGAACCTTGCTTTAGAGAGAGCAGATTTGAAACACTCTTGCTGTGGCATTTTCAGGTGGAGATTTCAAGCGATTTGAGGACAATTGCAGAAAAGGAAATATCTTCGTATAATAACCAGACAGAATCATTCTCAGAAAGTGCTTTGTGATGTGTGCGTTCAACTCACAGAGTTTAACCTTTCTTTTCATAGAGGAGTTTGGAAACACACTGTTTGTAAAGTCTGCAAGTGGATATATGGACCTGTTTGAGGCCTTCGTTGGAAACGGGATTTCTTCATTGAATGCTAGACGGAAGAATTCTCAGTAAATTCTTTGTGTTGTGTGCATTCAACTCACAGAGTGGAACGTCCCTTTAGACAGAGCAGATTTGAAACACTCTTTTTGCGGAATTTGCAAGTGGAGATTTCTAGCCATTTGATGCCAACAGTAGAAAGGGAAATATCTTCAAATAAAAACCAGACAGAATCATTCTCAGAAAATTCTTTGTGATGTGTGCGTTCAACTCACATAGTTTAACCTTTCTTTTCATAGAGCAGTTTGGAAACACTCTGTTTGTAAAGTCTGCAAGTGGATATATGGACCGCATTGAGGCCTTCGTTGGAAACGGGATTTCTTCATTTCATGCTAGACAGAAGAATTCTCAGTAACTTCTTTGTGCTGTGTGTATTCAACTCACAGAGTGGAACGTCCCTTTACACAGAGCAGATTTGAAACACTCTTTTTGTGGAGTTTGCAAGTGGAGATTTCAAGCGATTTGATGCCAACAGTAGAAAAGGAAATATCTTCAAATAAAAACTGGACAGAATCATTCTCAGAAACTACTTTGTGATGTGTGCCTTCAACTCACAGAGTTTAACCTTTCTTTTCTTAGAGCAGTTTAGAAACACTCTGCTTGTTATGTCTGCAAGTGGATATTTGGACCTCTTTGAGGCCTTCGTTGCAAACGGGGTTTCTTCCTTTAATGCTAGACTAAGAAGAGTTCTCAGTAACTTTTTTGTGTTGTGTGTATTCAACTCACAGAGTTGAACCTTGCTTTAGAGAGAGCAGATTTGAAACACTCTTGCTGTGGCATTTTCAGGTGGAGATTTCAAGCGATTTGAGGACAATTGCAGAAAAGGAAATATCTTCGTATAACAACCAGACAGAATCATTCTCAGAAAGTGCTTTGTGATGTGTGCGTTCCACTCACAGAGTTTAACCTTTCTTTTCATAGAGGAGTTTGGAAACACACTGTTTGTAAAGTCTGCAAGTGGATATATGGACCTGTTTGAGGCCTTCGTTGGAAACGGGATTTCTTCATTGAATGCTAGACGGAAGAATTCTCAGTAAATTCTTTGTGTTGTGTGCATTCAACTCACAGAGTGGAACGTCCCTTTAGACAGAGCAGATTTGAAACACTCTTTTTGCGGAATTTGCAAGTGGAGATTTCTAGCCATTTGATGCCAACAGTAGAAAGGGAAATATCTTCAAATAAAAACCAGACAGAATCATTCTCAGAAAATTCTTTGTGATGTGTGCGTTCAACTCACATAGTTTAACCTTTCTTTTCATAGAGCAGTTTGGAAACACTCTGTTTGTAAAGTCTGCAAGTGGATATATGGACCGCATTGAGGCCTTCGTTGGAAACGGGATTTCTTCATTTCATGCTAGACAGAAGAATTCTCAGTAACTTCTTTGTGCTGTGTGTATTCAACTCACAGAGTGGAACGTCCCTTTGCACAGAGCAGATTTGAAACACTCTTTTTGTGGAGTTAGCAAGTGGAGATTTCAAGCGATTTGATGCCAACAGTAGAAAAGGAAATATCTTCAAATAAAAACTAGACAGAATCATTCTCAGAAACTACTTTGTGATGTGTGCCTTCAACTCACAGAGTTTAACCTTTCTTTTCTTAGAGCAGTTTAGAAACACTCTGCTTGTTATGTCTGCAAGTGGATATTTGGACCTCTTTGAGGCCTTCGTTGCAAACGGGGTTTCTTCCTTTCATGCTAGACTAAGAAGAGTTCTCAGTAACTTTTTTGTGTTGTGTGTATTCAACTCACAGAGTTGAACCTTGCTTTAGAGAGAGCAGATTTGAAACACTCTTGCTGTGGCATTTTCAGGTGGAGATTTCAAGCGATTTGAGGACAATTGCAGAAAAGGAAATATCTTCGTATAATAACCAGACAGAATCATTCTCAGGAAGTGCTTTGTGATGTGTGCGTTCAACTCACAGAGTTTAACCTTTCTTTTCATAGAGGAGTTTGGAAACACACTATTTGTAAAGTCTGCAAGTGGATATATGGACCTGTTTGAGGCCTTCGTTGGAAACGGGATTTCTTCATTGAATGCTAGACGGAAGAATTCTCAGTAAATTCTTTGTGTTGTGTGCATTCAACTCACAGAGTGGAACATCCCTTTAGACAGAGCAGATTTGAAACACTCTTTTTGCGGAATTTGCAAGTGGAGATTTCTAGCCATTTGATGCCAACAGTAGAAAGGGAAATATCTTCAAATAAAAACCAGACAGAATCATTCTCAGAAAATTCTTTGTGATGTGTGCGTTCAACTCACATAGTTTAACCTTTCTTTTCATAGAGCAGTTTGGAAACACTCTGTTTGTAAAGTCTGCAAGTGGATATATGGACCGCATTGAGGCCTTCGTTGGAAACGGGATTTCTTCATTTCATGCTAGACAGAAGAATTCTCAGTAACTTCTTTGTGCTGTGTGTATTCAACTCACAGAGTGGAACGTCCCTTTGCACAGAGCAGATTTGAAACACTCTTTTTGTGGAGTTAGCAAGTGGAGATTTCAAGCGATTTGATGCCAACAGTAGAAAAGGAAATATCTTCAAATAAAAACTAGACAGAATCATTCTCAGAAACTACTTTGTGATGTGTGCCTTCAACTCACAGAGTTTAACCTTTCTTTTCTTAGAGCAGTTTAGAAACACTCTGCTTGTTATGTCTGCAAGTGGATATTTGGACCTCTTTGAGGCCTTCGTTGCAAACGGGGTTTCTTCCTTTAATGCTAGACTAAGAAGAGTTCTCAGTAACTTTTTTGTGTTGTGTGTATTCAACTCACAGAGCTGAACCTTGCTTTAGAGAGAGCAGATTTGAAACACTCTTGCTGTGGCATTTTCAGGTGGAGATTTCAAGCGATTTGAGGACAATTGCAGAAAAGGAAATATCTTCGTATAACAACCAGACAGAATCATTCTCAGAAAGTGCTTTGTGATGTGTGCGTTCAACTCACAGAGTTTAACCTTTCTTTTCATAGAGGAGTTTGGAAACACAGTGTTTGTAAAGTCTGCAATTGGATATATGGACCTGTTTGAGGCCTTCTTTGGAAACGGGATTTCTTCATTGAATGCTAGACGGAAGAATTCTCAGTAAATTCTTTGTGTTGTGTGCATTCAACTCACAGAGTGGAACGTCCCTTTAGACAGAGCAGATTTGAAACACTCTTTTTGCGGAATTTGCAAGTGGAGATTTCTAGCCATTTGATGGCCAACAGTAGAAAGGGAAATATCTTCAAATAAAAACCAGACAGAATCATTCTCAGAAAATTCTTTGTGATGTGTGCGTTCAACTCACATAGTTTAACCTTTCTTTTCATAGAGCAGTTTGGGAACACTCTGTTGGTAATGTCTGCAAGTGGATATATGGACCGCTTTGAGGCCTTCGTTGGAAACGGGATTTCTTCATTTCATGCTAGACAGAAGAATTCTCAGTAACTTCTTTGTGCTGTGTGTATTCAACTCACAGAGTGGAACGTCCCTTTACACAGAGCAGATTTGAAACACTCTTTTTGTGGAGTTTGCAAGTGGAGAATTCAAGCGATTTGATGCCAACAGTAGAAAAGGAAATATCTTCAAATAAAAACTAGACAGAATCATTCTCAGAAACTACTTTGTGATGTCTGCCTTCAACTCACAGAGTTTAACCTTTCTTTTCTTAGAGCAGTTTAGAAACACTCTGCTTGTTATGTCTGCAAGTGGATATTTGGACCTTCTTTGAGGCCTTCGTTGCAAACGGGGTTTCTTCCTTTCATGCTAGACTAAGAAGAGTTCTCAGTAACTTTTTTGTGTTGTGTGTATTCAACTCACAGAGTTGAACCTTGCTTTAGAGAGAGCAGATTTGAAACACTCTTGCTGTGGCATTTTCAGGTGGAGATTTCAAGCGATTTGAGGACAATTGCAGAAAAGGAAATATCTTCGTATAACAACCAGACAGAATCATTCTCAGAAAGTGCTTTGTGATGTGTGCGTTCAACTCACAGAGTTTAACCTTTCTTTTCATAGAGGAGTTTGGAAACACACTGTTTGTAAAGTCTGCAATTGGATATATGGACCTGTTTGAGGCCTTCGTTGGAAACGGGATTTCTTCATTGAATGCTAGACGGAAGAATTCTCAGTAAATTCTTTGTGTGGTGTGCATTCAACTCACAGAGTGGAACGTCCCTTTAGACAGAGCAGATTTGAAACACTCTTTTTGCGGAATTTGCAAGTGGAGATTTCTAGCCATTTGATGCCAACAGTAGAAAGGGAAATATCTTCAAATAAAAACCAGACAGAATCATTCTCAGAAAATTCTTTGTGATGTGTGCGTTCAACTCACATAGTTTAACCTTTCTTTTCATAGAGCAGTTTGGAAACACTCTGTTTGTAAAGTCTGCAAGTGGATATATGGACCGCATTGAGGCCTTCGTTGGAAACGGGATTTCTTCATTTCATGCTAGACAGAAGAATTCTCAGTAACTTCTTTGTGCTGTGTGTATTCAACTCACAGAGTGGAACGTCCCTTTGCACAGAGCAGATTTGAAACACTCTTTTTGTGGAGTTTGCAAGTGGAGATTTCAAGCGATTTGATGCCAACAGTAGAAAAGGAAATATCTTCAAATAAAAACTAGACAGAATCATTCTCAGAAACTACTTTGTGATGTGTGCCTTCAACTCACAGAGTTTAACCTTTCTTTTCTTAGAGCAGTTTAGAAACACTCTGCTTGTTATGTCTGCAAGTGGATATTTGGACCTCTTTGAGGCCTTCGTTGCAAACGGGGTTTCTTCCTTTCATGCTAGACTAAGAAGAGTTCTCAGTAACTTTTTTGTGTTGTGTGTATTCAACTCACAGAGCTGAACCTTGCTTTAGAGAGCGCAGATTTGAAACACTCTTGCTGTGGCATTTTCAGGTGGAGATTTCAAGCGATTTGAGGACAATTGCAGAAAAGGAAATATCTTCGTATAACAACCAGACAGAATCATTCTCAGAAAGTGCTTTGTGATGTGTGCGTTCCACTCACAGAGTTTAACCTTTCTTTTCATAGAGGAGTTTGGAAACACACTGTTTGTAAAGTCTGCAAGTGGATATATGGACCTGTTTGAGGCCTTCGTTGGAAACGGGATTTCTTCATTGAATGCTAGACGGAAGAATTCTCAGTAAATTCTTTGTGTGGTGTGCATTCAACTCACAGAGTGGAACGTCCCTTTAGACAGAGCAGATTTGAAACACTCTTTTTGCGGAATTTGCAAGTGGAGATTTACTAGCCATTTGATGCCAACAGTAGAAAGGGAAATATCTTCAAATAAAAACCAGACAGAATCATTCTCAGAAAATTCTTTGTGATGTGTGCGTTCAACTCACATAGTTTAACCTTTCTTTTCATAGAGCAGTTTGGAAACACTCTGTTTGTAAAGTCTGCAAGTGGATATATGGACCGCATTGAGGCCTTCGTTGGAAACGGGATTTCTTCATTTCATGCTAGACAGAAGAATTCTCAGTAACTTCTTTGTGCTGTGTGTATTCAACTCACAGAGTGGAACGTCCCTTTACACAGAGCAGATTTGAAACACTCTTTTTGTGGAGTTTGCAAGTGGAGATTTCAAGCGATTTGATGCCAACAGTAGAAAAGGAAATATCTTCAAATAAAAACTAGACAGAATCATTCTCAGAAACTACTTTGTGATGTGTGCCTTCAACTCACAGAGTTTAACCTTTCTTTTCTTAGAGCAGTTTAGAAACACTCTGCTTGTTATGTCTGCAAGTGGATATTTGGACCTCTTTGAGGCCTTCGTTGCAAACGGGGTTTCTTCCTTTCATGCTAGACTAAGAAGAGTTCTCAGTAACTTTTTTGTGTTGTGTGTATTCAACTCACAGAGTTGAACCTTGCTTTAGAGAGAGCAAATTTGAAACACTCTTGCTGTGGCATTTTCAGGTGGAGATTTCAAGCGATTTGAGGACAATTGCAGAAAAGGAAATATCTTCGTATAATAACCAGACAGAATCATTCTCAGAAAGTGCTTTGTGATGTGTGCGTTCAACTCACAGAGTTTAACCTTTCTTTTCATAGAGGAGTTTGGAAACACACTGTTTGTAAAGTCTGCAAGTGGATATATGGACCTGTTTGAGGCCTTCGTTGGAAACGGGATTTCTTCATTGAATGCTAGACGGAAGAATTCTCAGTAAATTCTTTGTGTTGTGTGCATTCAACTCACAGAGTGGAACGTCCCTTTAGACAGAGCAGATTTGAAACACTCTTTTTGCGGAATTTGCAAGTGGAGATTTCTAGCCATTTGATGCCAACAGTAGAAAGGGAAATATCTTCAAATAAAAACCAGACAGAATCATTCTCAGAAAATTCTTTGTGATGTGTGCGTTCAACTCACATAGTTTAACCTTTCTTTTCATAGAGCAGTTTGGAAACACTCTGTTTGTAAAGTCTGCAAGTGGATATATGGACCGCATTGAGGCCTTCGTTGGACACGGGATTTCTTCATTTCATGCTAGACAGAGTAATTCTCAGCAACTTCTTTGTGCTGTGTGTATTCAACTCACAGAGTGGAACGTCCCTTTACACAGAGCAGATTTGAAACACTCTTTTTGTGGAGTTTGCAAGTGAAGATTTCAAGCGATTTGATGCCAACAGTAGAAAAGGAAATATCTTCAAATAAAAACTAGACAGAATCATTCTCAGAAACTACTTTGTGATGTGTGCCTTCAACTCACAGAGTTTAACCTTTCTTTTCTTAGAGCAGTTTAGAAACACTCTGCTTGTTATGTCTGCAAGTGGATATTTGGACCTCTTTGAGGCCTTCGTTGCAAACGGGGTTTCTTCCTTTCATGCTAGACTAAGAAGAGTTCTCAGTAACTTTTTTGTGTTGTGTGTATTCAACTCACAGAGTTGAACCTTGCTTTAGAGAGAGCAGATTTGAAACACTCTTGCTGTGGCATTTTCAGGTGGAGATTTCAAGCGATTTGAGGACAATTGCAGAAAAGGAAATATCTTCGTATAATAACCAGACAGAATCATTCTCAGAAAGTGCTTTGTGATGTGTGCGTTCCACTCACAGAGTTTAACCTTTCTTTTCATAGAGGAGTTTGGAAACACACTGTTTGTAAAGTCTGCAAGTGGATATATGGACCTCTTTGAGGCCTTCGTTGGAAACGGGATTTCTTCATTGAATGCTAGACGGAAGAATTCTCAGTAAATTCTTTGTGTTGTGTGCATTCAACTCACAGAGTGGAACGTCCCTTTAGACAGAGCAGATTTGAAACACTCTTTTTGCGGAATTTGCAAGTGGAGATTTCTAGCCATTTGATGCCAACAGTAGAAAGGGAAATATCTTCAAATAAAAACCAGACAGAATCATTCTCAGAAAATTCTTTGTGATGTGTGCGTTCAACTCACATAGTTTAACCTTTCTTTTCATAGAGCAGTTTGGAAACACTCTGTTTGTAAAGTCTGCAAGTGGATATATGGACCGCATTGAGGCCTTCGTTGGAAACGGGATTTCTTCATTTCATGCTAGACAGAAGAATTCTCAGTAACTTCTTTGTGCTGTGTGTATTCAACTCACAGAGTGGAACGTCCCTTTACACAGAGCAGATTTGAAACACTCTATTTGTGGAGTTTGCAAGTGGAGATTTCAAGCGATTTGATGCCAACAGTAGAAAAGGAAATATCTTCAAATAAAAACTAGACAGAATCATTCTCAGAAACTACTTTGTGATGTGTGCCTTCAACTCACAGAGTTTAACCTTTCTTTTCTTAGAGCAGTTTAGAAACACTCTGCTTGTTATGTCTGCAAGTGGATATTTGGACCTCTTTGAGGCCTTCGTTGCAAACGGGGTTTCTTCCTTTCATGCTAGACTAAGAAGAGTTCTCAGTAACTTTTTTGTGTTGTGTGTATTCAACTCACAGAGTTGAACCTTGCTTTAGAGAGAGCAGATTTGAAACACTCTTGCTGTGGCATTTTCAGGTGGAGATTTCAAGCGATTTGAGGACAATTGCAGAAAAGGAAATATCTTCGTATAATAACCAGACAGAATCATTCTCAAAAAGTGCTTTGTGATGTGTGCGTTCAACTCACAGAGTTTAACCTTTCTTTTCATAGAGGAGTTTGGAAACACACTGTTTGTAAAGTCTGCAATTGGATATATGGACCTGTTTGAGGCCTTCGTTGGAAACGGGATTTCTTCATTGAATGCTAGACGGAAGAATTCTCAGTAAATTCTTTGTGTTGTGTGCATTCAACTCACAGAGTGGAACGTCCCTTTAGACAGAGCAGATTTGAAACACTCTTTTTGCGGAATTTGCAAGTGGAGATTTCTAGCCATTTGATGCCAACAGTAGAAAGGGAAATATCTTCAAATAAAAACCAGACAGAATCATTCTCAGAAAATTCTTTGTGATGTGTGCGTTCAACTCACATAGTTTAACCTTTCTTTTCATAGAGCAGTTTGGAAACACTCTGTTTGTAAAGTCTGCAAGTGGATATATGGACCGCATTGAGGCCTTCGTTGGAAACGGGATTTCTTCATTTCATGCTAGACAGAAGAATTCTCAGTAACTTCTTTGTGCTGTGTGTATTCAACTCACAGAGTTGAACCTTGCTTTAGAGAGAGCAGATTTGAAACACTCTTGCTGTGGCATTTTCAGGTGGAGATTTCAAGCGATTTGAGGACAATTGCAGAAAAGGAAATATCTTCGTATAATAACCAGAGAGAAACATTCTCAGAAAGTGCTTTGTGATGTGTGCGTTCAACTCACAGAGTTTAACCTTTCTTTTCATAGAGGAGTTTGGAAACACACTGTTTGTAATGTCTGCAATTGGATATATGGACCTGTTTGAGGCCTTCGTTGGAAACGGGATTTCTTCATTGAATGCTAGACGGAGAATTCTCAGTAAATTCTTTGTGTTGTGTGCATTCAACTCACAGAGTGGAACGTCCCTTTAGACAGAGCAGATTTGAAACACTCTTTTTGCGGAATTTGCAAGTGGAGATTTCTAGCCATTTGATGCCAACAGTAGAAAGGGAAATATCTTCAAATAAAAACCAGACAGAATCATTCTCAGAAAATTCTTTGTGATGTGTGCGTTCAACTCACATAGTTTATCCTTTCTTTTCATAGAGCAGTTTGGAAACACTCTGTTTGTAAAGTCTGCAAGTGGATATATGGACCACATTGAGGCCTTCGTTGGAAACGGGATTTCTTCATTTCATGCTAGACAGAAGAATTCTCAGTAACTTCTTTGTGCTGTGTGTATTCAACTCACAGAGTTGAACCTTGCTTTAGAGAGAGCAGATTTGAAACACTCTTGCTGTGGCATTTTCAGGTGGAGATTTCAAGCGATTTGAGGACAATTGCAGAAAAGGAAATATCTTCGTATAATAACCAGACAGAATCATTCTCATAAAGTGCTTTGTGATGTGTGCGTTCCACTCACAGAGTTTAACCTTTCTTTTCATAGAGGAGTTTGGAAACACACTGTTTGTAAAGTCTGCAAGTGGATATATGGACCTGTTTGAGGCCTTCGTTGGAAACGGGATTTCTTCATTGAATGCTAGACGGAAGAATTCTCAGTAAATTCTTTGTGTTGTGTGCATTCAACTCACAGAGTGGAACGTCCCTTTAGACAGAGCAGATTTGAAACACTCTTTTTGCGGAATTTGCAAGTGGAGATTTCTAGCCATTTGATGCCAACAGTAGAAAGGGAAATATCTTCAAATAAAAACCAGGCAGAATCATTCTCAGAAAATTCTTTGTGATGTGTGCGTTCAACTCACATAGTTTAACCTTTCTTTTCATAGAGCAGTTTGGAAACACTCTGTTTGTTAAGTCTGCAAGTGGATATATGGACCGCATTGAGGCCTTCGTTGGAAACGGGATTTCTTCATTTCATGCTAGACAGAAGAATTCTCAGTAACTCCTCTGTGTTGTGTGTATTCAACTCACAGTGTGGAACGTCCCTTTAGACAGAGCAGATTTCAAACACTCTTTTTGTGGAATTTGCAAGTGGAGATTTCAAGCGATTTGATGCCAGCAGTAGAAAAGGAAATATCTTCAAATAAAAACTAGACAGAATCATTCTCAGAAACTACTTTGTGATGTGTGCCTTCAACTCACAGAGTTTAACCTTTCTTTTCTTAGAGCAGATTAGAAACACTCTGCTTGTTATGTCTGCAAGTGGATATTTGGACCTCTTTGAGGCCTTCGTTGCAAACGGGGTTTCTTCCTTTAATGCTAGACTAAGAAGAGTTCTCAGTGACTTTTTTGTGTTGTGTGTATTCAACTCACATTGTTGAAACTTGCTTTAGAGAGAGCAGATTTGAAACACTCTTGCTGTGGAATTTTCAGGTGGAGATTTCAAGCGATTTGAGGACAATTGCAGAAAAGGAAATATCTTCGTATAAAAACCAGACAGAATCATTCTCAGAAAGTGCTTTGTGATGTGTGCGTTCCACTCACAGAGTTTAACCTTTCTTTTCATAGAGGAGTTTGGAAACACACTGTTTGTAAAGTCTGCAAGTGGATATATGGACCTGTTTGAGGCCTTCGTTGGAAACGGGATTTCTTCATTGAATGCTAGACGGAAGAATTCTCAGTAAATTCTTTGTGTTGTGTGCATTCAACTCACAGAGTGGAACGTCCCTTTAGACAGAGCAGATTTGAAACACTCTTTTTGCGGAATTTGCAAGTGGAGATTTCTAGCCATTTGATGCCAACAGTAGAAAGGGAAATATCTTCAAATAAAAACCAGACAGAATCATTCTCAGAAAATTGTTTGTGATGTGTGCGTTCAACTCACATAGTTTAACCTTTCTTTTCATAGAGCAGTTTGGAAACACTCTGTTTGTAAAGTCTGCAAGTGGATATATGGACCGCATTGAGGCCTTCGTTGGAAACGGGATTTCTTCATTTCATGCTAGACAGAAGAATTCTCAGTAACTTCTTTGTGCTGTGTGTATTCAACTCACAGAGTGGAACGTCCCTTTACACAGAGCAGATTTGAAACACTCTTTTTGTGGAGTTTGCAAGTGGAGATTTCAAGAGATTTGATGCCAACAGTAGAAAAGGAAATATCTTCAAATAAAAACTAGACAGAATCATTCTCAGAAACTACTTTGTGATGTGTGCCTTCAACTCACAGAGTTTAACCTTTCTTTTCTTAGAGCAGTTTAGAAACACTCTGCTTGTTATGTCTGCAAGTGGATATTTGGACCTCTTTGAGGCCTTCGTTGCAAACGGGGTTTCTTCCTTTCATGCTAGACTAAGAAGAGTTCTCAGTAACTTTTTTGTGTTGTGTGTATTCAACTCACAGAGTTGAACCTTGCTTTAGAGAGAGCAGATTTGAAACACTCTTGCTGTGGCATTTTCAGGTGGAGATTTCAAGCGATTTGAGGACAATTGCAGAAAAGGAAATATCTTCGTATAACAACCAGACAGAATCATTCTCAGAAAGTGCTTTGTGATGTGTGCGTTCCACTCACAGAGTTTAACCTTTCTTTTCATAGAGGAGTTTGGAAACACACTGTTTGTAAAGTCTGCAAGTGGATATATGGACCTGTTTGAGGCCTTCGTTGGAAACGGGATTTCTTCATTGAATGCTAGACGGAAGAATTCTCAGTAAATTCTTTGTGTTGTGTGCATTCAACTCACAGAGTGGAACGTCCCTTTAGACAGAGCAGATTTGAAACACTCTTTTTGCGGAATTTGCAAGTGGAGATTTCTAGCCATTTGATGCCAACAGTAGAAAGGGAAATATCTTCAAATAAAAACCAGACAGAATCATTCTCAGAAAATTCTTTGTGATGTGTGCGTTCAACTCACATAGTTTAACCTTTCTTTTCATAGAGCAGTTTGGAAACACTCTGTTTGTAAAGTCTGCAAGTGGATATATGGACCGCATTGAGGCCTTCGTTGGAAACGGGATTTCTTCATTTCATGCTAGACAGAAGAATTCTCAGTAACTTCTTTGTGCTGTGTGTATTCAACTCACAGAGTGGAACGTCCCTTTACACAGAGCAGATTTGAAACACTCTTTTTGTGGAGTTTGCAAGTGGAGATTTCAAGCGATTTGATGCCAACAGTAGAAAAGGAAATATCTTCAAATAAAAACTAGACAGAATCATTCTCAGAAACTACTTTGTGATGTGTGCCTTCAACTCACAGAGTTTAACCTTTCTTTTCTTAGAGCAGTTTAGAAACACTCTGCTTGTTATGTCTGCAAGTGGATATTTGGACCTCTTTGAGGCCTTCGTTGCAAACGGGGTTTCTTCCTTTAATGCTAGACTAAGAAGAGTTCTCAGTAACTTTTTTGTGTTGTGTGTATTCAACTCACAGAGTTGAACCTTGCTTTAGAGAGAGCAGATTTGAAACACTCTTGCTGTGGCATTTTCAGGTGGAGATTTCAAGCGATTTGAGGACAATTGCAGAAAAGGAAATATCTTCGTATAACAACCAGACAGAATCATTCTCAGAAAGTGCTTTGTGATGTGTGCGTTCAACTCACAGAGTTTAACCTTTCTTTTCATAGAGGAGTTTGGAAACACACTGTTTGTAAAGTCTGCAATTGGATATATGGACCTGTTTGAGGCCTTCGTTGGAAACGGGATTTCTTCATTGAATGCTAGACGGAAGAATTCTCAGTAAATTCTTTGTGTTGTGTGCATTCAACTCACAGAGTGGAACGTCCCTTTAGACAGAGCAGATTTGAAACACTCTTTTTGCGGAATTTGCAAGTGGAGATTTCTAGCCATTTGATGCCAACAGTAGAAAGGGAAATATCTTCAAATAAAAACCAGACAGAATCATTCTCAGAAAATTCTTTGTGATGTGTGCGTTCAACTCACATAGTTTAACCTTTCTTTTCATGGAGCAGTTTGGAAACACTCTGTTTGTAAAGTCTGCAAGTGGATATATGGACCGCATTGAGGCCTTCGTTGGAAACGGGATTTCTTCATTTCATACTAGACAGAAGAATTCTCAGTAACTTCTTTGTGCTGTGTGTATTCAACTCACAGAGTGGAACATCCCTTTGCACAGAGCAGATTTGAAACACTCTTTTTGTGGAGTTTGCAAGTGGAGATTTCAAGCGATTTGATGCCAACAGTAGAAAAGGAAATATCTTCAAATAAAAACTAGACAGAATCATTCTCAGAAACTACTTTGTGATGTGTGCCTTCAACTCACAGAGTTTAACCTTTCTTTTCTTAGAGCAGTTTAGAAACACTCTCCTTGTTATGTCTGCAAGTGGATATTTGGACCTCTTTGAGGCCTTCGTTGCAAATGGGGTTTCTTCCTTTCACGCTAGACTAAGAAGAGTTCTCAGTAACTTTTTTGTGTTGTGTGTATTCAACTCACAGAGTTGAACCTTGCTTTAGAGAGAGCAGATTTGAAACACTCTTGCTGTGGCATTTTCAGGTGGAGATATCAAGCGATTTGAGGACAATTGCAGAAAAGGAAATATCTTCGTATAATAACCAGACAGAATCATTCACAGAAAGTGCTTTGTGATGTGTGCGTTCAACTCACAGAGTTTAACCTTTCTTTTCATAGAGGAGTTTGGAAACACACTGTTTGTAACGTCTGCAAGTGGATATATGGACCTGTTTGAGGCCTTCGTTGGAAACGGGATTTCTTCATTGAATGCTAGACGGAAGAATTCTCAGTAAATTCTTTGTGTTGTGTGCATTCAACTCACACAGTGGAACGTCCCTTTAGACAGAGCAGATTTGAAACACTCTTTTTGCGGAAGTTGCAAGTGGAGATTTCTAGCCATTTGATGCCAACAGTGGAAAGGGAAATATCTTCAAATAAAAACTAGACAGAATCATTCTCAGAAAGTGCTTTGTGATGTGTGCGTTCAACTCACAGAGTTTAACCTTTCTTTTCATAGAGGAGTTTGGAAACACACTGTTTGTAAAGTCTGCAATTGGATATATGGACCTGTTTGAGGCCTTCGTTGGAAACGGGATTTCTTCATTGAATGCTAGACGGAAGAATTCTCAGTAAATTCTTTGTGTTGTGTGCATTCAACTGACAGAGTGGAACGTCCCTTAAGACAGAGCAGATTTGAAACACTCTTTTTGCGGAATTTGCAAGTGGAGATTTCTAGCCATTTGATGCCAACAGTAGAAAGGGAAATATCTTCAAATAAAAACCAGACAGAATCATTCTCAGAAAATTCTTTGTGATGTGTGCGTTCAACTCACATAGTTTAACCTTTCTTTTCATAGAGCAGTTTGGAAACACTCTGTTTGTAAAGTCTGCAAGTGGATATATGGACCGCATTGAGGCCTTCGTTGGAAACGGGATTTCTTCATTTCATGCTAGACAGAAGAATTCTCAGTAACTTCTTTGTGCTGTGTGTATTCAACTCACAGAGTGGAACGTCCCTTTGCACAGAGCAGATTTGAAACACTCTTTTTGTGGAGTTTGCAAGTGGAGATTTCAAGCGATTTGATGCCAACAGTAGAAAAGGAAATATCTTCGTATAACAACCAGACAGAATCATTCTCAGAAAGTGCTTTGTGATGTGTGCCTTCAACTCACAGAGTTTAACCTTTCTTTTCTTAGAGCAGTTTAGAAACACTCTGCTTGTTATGTCTGCAAGTGGATATTTGGACCTCTTTGAGGCCTTCGTTGCAAACGGGGTTTCTTCCTTTCATGCTAGACTAAGAAGAGTTCTCAGTAACTTTTTTGTGTTGTGTGTATTCAACTCACAGAGTTGAACCTTGCTTTAGAGAGAGCAGATTTGAAACACTCTTGCTGTGGCATTTTCAGGTGGAGATTTCAAGCGATTTGAGGACAATTGCAGAAAAGGAAATATCTTCGTATAATAACCAGACAGAATCATTCTCAGAAAGTGCTTTGTGATGTGTGCGTTCAACTCACAGAGTTTAACCTTTCTTTTCATAGAGGAGTTTGGAAACACACTGTTTGTAAAGTCTGCAATTGGATATATGGACCTGTTTGAGGCCTTCGTTGGAAACGGGATTTCTTCATTGAATGCTAGACGGAAGAATTCTCAGTAAATTCTTTGTGTTGTGTGAATTCAACTGACAGAGTGGAACGTCCCTTTAGACAGAGCAGATTTGAAACACTCTTTTTGCGGAATTTGCAAGTGGAGATTTCTAGCCATTTGATGCCAACAGTAGAAAGGGAAATATCTTCAAATAAAAACCAGACAGAATCATTCTCAGAAAATTCTTTGTGATGTGTGCGTTCAACTCACATAGTTTAACCTTTCTTTTCATAGAGCAGTTTGGAAACACTCTGTTTGTAAAGTCTGCAAGTGGATATATGGACCGCATTGAGGCCTTCGTTGGAAACGGGATTTCTTCATTTCATGCTAGACAGAAGAATTCTCAGTAACTTCTTTGTGCTGTGTGTATTCAACTCACAGAGTGGAACGTCCCTTTACACAGAGCAGATTTGAAACACTCTTTTTGTGGAGTTTGCAAGTGGAGATTTCAAGCGATTTGATGCCAACAGTAGAAAAGGAAATATCTTCAAATAAAAACTAGACAGAATCATTCTCAGAAACTACTTTGTGATGTGTGCCTTCAACTCACAGAGTTTAACCTTTCTTTTCTTAGAGCACTTTAGAAACACTGTGCTTGTTATGTCTGCAAGTGGATATTTGGACCTCTTTGAGGCCTTCGTTGCAAACGGGGTTTCTTCCTTTCATGCTAGACTAAGAAGAGTTCTCAGTAACTTTTTTGTGTTGTGTGTATTCAACTCACAGAGTTGAACCTTGCTTTAGAGAGAGCAGATTTGAAACACTCTTGCTGTGGCATTTTCAGGTGGAGATTTCAAGCGATTTGAGGACAATTGCAGAAAAGGAAATATCTTCGTATAATAACCAGACAGAATCATTCTCAGAAAGTGCTTTGTGATGTGTGCGTTCAACTCACAGAGTTTAACCTTTCTTTCCATAGAGGAGTTTGGAAACACACTGTTTGTAAAGTCTGCAAGTGGATATATGGACCTGTTTGAGGCCTTCGTTGGAAACGGGATTTCTTCATTGAATGCTAGACGGAAGAATTCTCAGTAAATTCTTTGTGTTGTGTGCATTCAACTCACAGAGTGGAACGTCTCTTTAGACAGAGCAGATTTGAAACACTCTTTTTGCGGAATTTGCAAGTGGAGATTTCTAGCCATTTGATGCCAACAGTAGAAAGGGAAACATCTTCAAATAAAAACCAGACAGAATCATTCTCAGAAAATTCTTTGTGATGTGTGCGTTCAACTCACATAGTTTAACCTTTCTTTTCATAGAGCAGTTTGGAAACACTCTGTTTGTAAAGTCTGCAAGTGGATATATGGACCGCATTGAGGCCTTCGTTGGAAACGGGATTTCTTCATTTCATGCTAGACAGAAGAATTCTCAGTAACTTCTTTGTGCTGTGTGTATTCAACTCACAGAGTGGAACGTCCCTTTGCACAGAGCAGATTTGAAACACTCTTTTTGTGGAGTTTGCAAGTGGAGATTTCAAGCGATTTGATGCCAACAGTAGAAAAGGAAATATCTTCAAATAAAAACTAGACAGAATCATTCTCAGAAACTACTTTGTGATGTGTGCCTTCAACTCACAGAGTTTAACCTTTCTTTTCTTAGAGCAGTTTAGAAACACTCTGCTTGTTATGTCTGCAAGTGGATATTTGGACCTCTTTGAGGTCTTCGTTGCAAACGGGGTTTCTTCCTTTCATGCTAGACTAAGAAGAGTTCTCAGTAACTTTTTTGTGTTGTGTGTATTCAACTCACAGAGTTGAACCTTGCTTTAGAGAGAGCAGATTTGAAACACTCTTGCTGTGGCATTTTCAGGTGGAGATTTCAAGCGATTTGAGGAGAATTGCAGAAAAGGAAATATCTTCGTATAATAACCAGACAGAATCATTCTCAGAAAATGGTTTGTGATGTGTGCGTTCAACTCACAGAGTTTAACCTTTCTTTTCATAGAGGAGTTTGGAAACACACTGTTTGTAAAGTCTGCAATTGGATATATGGACCTGTTTGAGGCCTTCGTTGGAAACGGGATTTCTTCATTGAATGCTAGACGGAAGAATTCTCAGTAAATTCTTTGTGTTGTGTGCATTCAACTCACAGAGTGGAACGTCCCTTTAGACAGAGCAGATTTGAAACACTCTTTTTGCGGAATTTGCAAGTGGAGATTTCTAGCCATTTGATGCCAACAGTAGAAAGGGAAACATCTTCAAATAAAAACCAGACAGAATCATTCTCAGAAAATTCTTTGTGATGTGTGCGTTCAACTCACATAGTTTAACCTTTCTTTTCATAGAGCAGTTTGGAAACACTCTGTTTGTAAAGTCTGCAAGTGGATATATGGACCGCATTGAGGCCTTCGTTGGAAACGGGATTTCTTCATTTCATGCTAGACAGAAGAATTCTCAGTAACTTCTTTGTGCTGTGTGTATTCAACTCACAGAGTGGAACGTCCCTTTGCACAGAGCAGATTTGAAACACTCTTTTTGTGGAATTTGCAAGTGGAGATTTCAAGCGATTTGATGCCAACAGTAGAAAAGGAAATATCTTCAAATAAAAACTAGACAGAATCATTCTCAGAAACTACTTTGTGATGTGTGCCTTCAACACACAGAGTTTAACCTTTCTTTTCTTAGAGCAGTTTAGAAACACTCTGCTTGTTATGTCTGCAAGTGGATATTTGGACCTCTTTGAGGCCTTCGTTGCAAACGGGGTTTCTTCCTTTAATGCTAGACTAAGAAGAGTTCTCAGTAACTTTTTTGTGTTGTGTGTATTCAACTCACAGAGTTGAACCTTGCTTTAGAGAGAGCAGATTTGAAACACTCTTGCTGTGGCATTTTCAGGTGGAGATTTCAAGCGATTTGAGGACAATTGCGGAAAAGGAAATATCTTCGTATAACAACCAGACAGAATCATTCTCAGAAAGTGCTTTGTGATGTGTGCGTTCAACTCACAGAGTTTAACCTTTCTTTTCATAGAGGAGTTTGGAAACACACTGTTTGTAAAGTCTGCAATTGGATATATGGACCTGTTTGAGGCCTTCGTTGGAAACGGGATTTCTTCATTGAATGCTAGACGGAAGAATTCTCAGTAAATTCTTTGTGTTGTGTGCATTCAACTCACAGAGTGGAACGTCCCTTTAGACAGAGCAGATTTGAAACACTCTTTTTGCGGAATTTGCAAGTGGAGATTTCTAGCCATTTGATGCCAACAGTAGAAAGGGAAATATCTTCAAATAAAAACCAGACAGAAATCATTCTCAGAAAATTCTTTGTGATGTGTGCGTTCAACTCACATAGTTTTACCTTTCTTTTCATAGAGCAGTTTGGAAACACTCTGTTTGTAAAGTCTGCAAGTGGATATATGGACCGCATTGAGGCCTTCGTTGGAAACGGGATTTCTTCATTTCGTGCTAGACAGAAGAATTCTCAGTAACTTCTTTGTGCTGTGTGTATTCAACTCACAGAGTGGAACGTCCCTTTACACAGAGCAGATTTGAAACACTCTTTTTGTGGAGTTTGCAAGTGGAGATTTCAAGCGATTTGATGCCAACAGTAGAAAAGGAAATATCTTCAAATAAAAACTAGACAGAATCATTCTCAGAAACTACTTTGTGATGTGTGCCTTCAACTCACAGAGTTTAACCTTTCTTTTCTTAGAGCAGTTTAGAAACACTCTGCTTGTTATGTCTGCAAGTGGATATTTGGACCTCTTTGAGGCCTTCGTTGCAAACGGGGTTTCTTCCTTTCATGCTAGACTAAGAAGAGTTCTCAGTAACTTTTTTGTGTTGTGTGTATTCAACTCACAGAGCTGAACCTTGCTTTAGAGAGAGCAGATTTGAAACACTCTTGCTGTGGCATTTTCAGGTGGAGATTTCAAGCGATTTGAGGACAATTGCAGAAAAGGAAATATCTTCGTATAACAACCAGACAGAATCATTCTCAGAAAGTGCTTTGTGATGTGTGCGTTCCACTCACAGAGTTTAACCTTTCTTTTCATAGAGGAGTTTGGAAACACACTGTTTGTAAAGTCTGCAAGTGGATATATGGACCTGTTTGAGGCCTTCGTTGGAAACGGGATTTCTTCATTGAATGCTAGACGGAAGAATTCTCAGTAAATTCTTTGTGTTGTGTGCATTCAACTCACAGAGTGGAACGTCCCTTTAGACAGAGCAGATTTGAAACACTCTTTTTGCGGAATTTGCAAGTGGAGATTTCTAGCCATTTGATGCCAACAGTAGAAAGGGAAATATCTTCAAATAAAAACCAGACAGAATCATTCTCAGAAAATTCTTTGTGATGTGTGCGTTCAACTCACATAGTTTAACCTTTCTTTTCATAGAGCAGTTTGGAAACACTCTGTTTGTAAAGTCTGCAAGTGGATATATGGACCGCATTGAGGCCTTCGTTGGAAACGGGATTTCTTCACTTCATGCTAGACAGAAGAATTCTCAGTAACTTCTTTGTGCTGTGTGTATTCAACTCACAGAGTGGAACGTCCCTTTACACAGAGCAGATTTGAAACACTCTTTTTGTGGAGTTTGCAAGTGGAGATTTCAAGCGATTTGATGCCAACAGTAGAAAAGGAAATATCTTCAAATAAAAACTAGACAGAATCATTCTCAGAAACTACTTTGTGATGTGTGCCTTCAACTCACAGAGTTTAACCTTTCTTTTCTTAGAGCAGTTTAGAAACACTCTGCTTGTTATGTCTGCAAGTGGATATTTGGACCTCTTTGAGGCCTTCGTTGCAAACGGGGTTTCTTCCTTTCATGCTAGACTAAGAAGAGTTCTCAGTAACTTTTTTGTGTTGTGTGTATTCAACTCACAGAGTTGAACCTTGCTTTAGAGAGAGCAGATTTGAAACACTCTTGATGTGGCATTTTCAGGTGGAGATTTCAAGCGATTTGAGGACAATTGCAGAAAAGGAAATATCTTCGTATAACAACCAGACAGAATCATTCTCAGAAAGTGCTTTGTGATGTGTGCGTTCAACTCACAGAGTTTAACCTTTCTTTTCATAGAGGAGTTTGGAAACACACTGTTTGTAAAGTCTGCAATTGGATATATGGACCTGTTTGAGGCCTTCGTTGGAAACGGGATTTCTTCATTGAATGCTAGACGGAAGAATTCTCAGTAAATTCTTTGTGTTGTGTGCATTCAACTCACAGAGTGGAACGTCCCTTTAGACAGAGCAGATTTGAAACACTCTTTTTGCGGAATTTGCAAGTGGAGATTTCTAGCCATTTGATGCCAACAGTAGAAAGGGAAATATCTTCAAATAAAAACCAGACAGAATCATTCTCAGAAAATTCTTTGTGATGTGTGCGTTCAACTCACATAGTTTAACCTTTCTTTTCATAGAGCAGTTTGGAAACACTCTGTTTGTAAAGTCTGCAAGTGGATATATGGACCGCATTGAGGCCTTCGTTGGAAACGGGATTTCTTCATTTCATGCTAGACAGAAGAATTCTCAGTAACTTCTTTGTGCTGTGTGTATTCAACTCACAGAGTGGAACGTCCCTTTGCACAGAGCAGATTTGAAACACTCTTTTTGTGGAGTTTGCAAGTGGAGATTTCAAGCGATTTGATGCCAACAGTAGAAAAGGAAATATCTTCAAATAAAAACTAGACAGAATCATTCTCAGAAACTACTTTGTGATGTGTGCCTTCAACTCACAGAGTTTAACCTTTCTTTTCTTAGAGCAGTTTAGAAACACTCTGCTTGTTATGTCTGCAAGTGGATATTTGGACCTCTTTGAGGCCTTCGTTGCAAACGGGGTTTCTTCCTTTCATGCTAGACTAAGAAGAGTTCTCAGTAACTTTTTTGTGTTGTGTGTATTCAACTCACAGAGTTGAACCTTGCTTTAGAGAGAGCAGATTTGAAACACTCTTGCTGTGGCATTTTCAGGTGGAGATTTCAAGCGATTTGAGGACAATTGCAGAAAAGGAAATATCTTCGTATAATAACCAGACAGAATCATTCTCAGAAAGTGCTTTGTGATGTGTGCGTTCAACTCACAGAGTTTAACCTTTCTTTTCATAGAGGAGTTTGGAAACACACTATTTGTAATGTCTGCAATTGGATATATGGACCTGTTTGAGGCCTTCGTTGGAAACGGGATTTCTTCATTGAATGCTAGACGGAAGAATTCTCAGTAAATTCTTTGTGTTGTGTGCATTCAACTCACAGAGTGGAACGTCCCTTTAGACAGAGCAGATTTGAAACACTTTTTGGCGGAATTTGCAAGTGGAGATTTCTAGCCATTTGATGCCAACAGTAGAAAGGGAAATATCTTCAAATAAAAACCAGACAGAATCATTCTCAGAAAATTCTTTGTGATGTGTGCGTTCAACTCACATAGTTTAACCTTTCTTTTCATAGAGCAGTTTGGAAACACTCTGTTTGTAAAGTCTGCAAGTGGATATATGGACCGCATTGAGGCCTTCGTTGGAAACGGGATTTCTTCATTTCATGCTAGACAGAAGAATTCTCAGTAACTTCTTTGTGCTGTGTGTATTCAACTCACAGAGTGGAACGTCCCTTTACACAGAGCAGATTTGAAACACTCTTTTTGTGGAGTTTGCAAGTGGAGATTTCAAGCGATTTGATGCCAACAGTAGAAAAGGAAATATCTTCAAATAAAAACTAGACAGAATCATTCTCAGAAACTACTTTGTGATGTGTGCCTTCAACTCACAGAGTTTAACCTTTCTTTTCTTAGAGCAGTTTAGAAACACTCTGCTTGTTATGTCTGCAAATGGATATTTGGACCTCTTTGAGGCCTTCGTTGCAAACGGGGTTTCTTCCTTTCATGCTAGACTAAGAAGAGTTCTCAGTAACTTTTTGTGTTGTGTGTATTCAACTCACAGAGTTGAACCTTGCTTTAGAGAGAGCAGATTTGAAACACTCTTGCTGTGGCATTTTCAGGTGGAGATTTCAAGCGATTTGAGGACAATTGCAGAAAAGGAAATATCTTCGTATAATAACCAGACAGAATCATTCTCAGAAAGTGCTTTGTGATGTGTGCGTTCAACTCACAGAGTTTAACCTTTCTTTTCATAGAGGAGTGTGGAAACACACTGTTTGTAAAGTCTGCAATTGGATATATGGACCTGTTTGAGGCCTTCGTTGGAAACGGGATTTCTTCATTGAATGCTAGACGGAAGAATTCTCAGTAAATTCTTTGTGTTGTGTGCATTCAACTGACAGAGTGGAACGTCCCTTTAGACAGAGCAGATTTGAAACACTCTTTTTGCGGAATTTGCAAGTGGAGATTTTTAGCCATTTGATGCCAACAGTAGAAAGGGAAATATCTTCAAATAAAAACCAGACAGAATCATTCTCAGAAAATTCTTTGTGATGTGTGCGTTCAACTCACATAGTTTAACCTTTCTTTTCATAGAGCAGTTTGGAAACACTCTGTTTGTAAAGTCTGCAAGTGGATCTATGGACCGCATTGAGGCCTTCGTTGGAAACGGGATTTCTTCATTTCATGCTAGACAGAAGAATTCTCAGTAACTTCTTTGTGCTGTGTGTATTCAACTCACAGAGTGGAACGTCCCTTTGCACAGAGCAGATTTGAAACACTCTTTTTGTGGAGTTTGCAAGTGGAGATTTCAAGCGATTTGATGCCAACAGTAGAAAAGGAAATATCTTCAAATAAAAACTAGACAGAATCATTCTCAGAAACTACTTCGTGATGTGTGCCTTCAACTCACAGAGTTTAACCTTTCTTTTCTTAGAGCAGTTTAGAAACACTCTGCTTGTTATGTCTGCAAGTGGATATTTGGACCTCTTTGAGGCCTTCGTTGCAAACGGGGTTTCTTCCTTTCATGCTAGACTAAGAAGAGTTCTCAGTAACTTTTTTGTGTTGTGTGTATTCAACTCACAGAGTTGAACCTTGCTTTAGAGAGAGCAGATTTGAAACACTCTTGCTGTGGCATTTTCAGGTGGAGATTTCAAGCGATTTGAGGACAATTGCAGAAAAGGAAATATCTTCGTATAACAACCAGACAGAATCATTCTCAGAAAGTGCTTTGTGATGTGTGCGTTCCACTCACAGAGTTTAACCTTTCTTTTCATAGAGGAGTTTGGAAACACACTGTTTGTAAAGTCTGCAAGTGGATATATGGACCTGTTTGAGGCCTTCGTTGGAAACGGGATTTCTTCATTGAATGCTAGACGGAAGAATTCTCAGTAAATTCTTTGTGTTGTGTGCATTCAACTGACAGAGTGGAACGTCCCTTTAGACAGAGCAGATTTGAAACACTCTTTTTGCGGAATTTGCAAGTGGAGATTTCTAGCCATTTGATGCCAACAGTAGAAAGGGAAATATCTTCAAATAAAAACCAGACAGAATCATTCTCAGAAAATTCTTTGTGATGTGTGCGTTCAACTCACATAGTTTAACCTTTCTTTTCATAGAGCAGTTTGGAAACACTCTGTTTGTAAAGTCTGCAAGTGGATATATGGACCGCATTGAGGCCTTCGTTGGAAACGGGATTTCTTCATTTCATGCTAGACAGAAGAATTCTCAGTAACTTCTTTGTGCTGTGTGTATTCAACTCACAGAGTGGAACGTCCCTTTACACAGAGCAGATTTGAAACACTCTTTTTGTGGAGTTTGCAAGTGGAGATTTCAAGCGATTTGATGCCAACAGTAGAAAAGGAAATATCTTCAAATAAAAACTAGACAGAATCATTCTCAGAAACTACTTTGTGATGTGTGCCTTCAACTTACAGAGTTTAACCTTTCTTTTCTTAGAGCAGTTTAGAAACACTCTGCTTGTTATGTCTGCAAGTGGATATTTGGACCTCTTTGAGGCCTTCGTTGCAAACGGGGTTTCTTCCTTTCATGCTAGACTAAGAAGAGTTCTCAGTAACTTTTTTGTGTTGTGTGTATTCAACTCACAGAGTTGAACCTTGCTTTAGAGAGAGCAGATTTGAAACACTCTTGCTGTGGCATTTTCAGGTGGAGATTTCAAGCGATTTGAGGACAATTGCAGAAAAGGAAATATCTTCGTATAATAACCAGACAGAATCATTCTCAGAAAGTGCTTTGTGATGTGTGCGTTCAACTCACAGAGTTTAACCTTTCTTTTCATAGAGGAGTTTGGAAACACACTGTTTGTAAAGTCTGCAATTGGATATATGGACCTGTTTGAGGCCTTCGTTGGAAACGGGATTTCTTCATTGAATGCTAGACGGAAGAATTCTCAGTAAATTCTTTGTGTTGTGTGCATTCAACTGACAGAGTGGAACGTCCCTTTAGACAGAGCAGATTTGAAACACTCTTTTTGCGGAATTTGCAAGTGGAGATTTCTAGCCATTAGATGCCAACAGTAGAAAGGGAAATATCTTCAAATAAAAACCAGACAGAATCATTCTCAGAAAATTCTTTGTGATGTGTGCGTTCAACTCACATAGTTTAACCTTTCTTTTCATAGAGCAGTTTGGAAACACTCTGTTTGTAAAGTCTGCAAGTGGATATATGGACCGCATTGAGGCCTTCGTTGGAAACGGGATTTCTTCATTTCATGCTAGACAGAAGAATTCTCAGTAACTTCTTTGTGCTGTGTGTACTCAACTCACAGAGTGGAACGTCCCTTTGCACAGAGCAGATTTGAAACACTCTTTTTGTGGAGTTTGAAAGTGGAGATTTCAAGCGATTTGATGCCAACAGTAGAAAAGGAAATATCTTCAAATAAAAACTAGACAGAATCATTCTCAGAAACTACTTTGTGATGTGTGCCTTCAACTCACAGAGTTTAACCTTTCTTTTCTTAGAGCAGTTTAGAAACACTCTGCTTGTTATGTCTGCAAGTGGATATTTGGACCTCTTTGAGGCCTTCGTTGCAAACGGGGTTTCTTCCTTTAATGCTAGACTAAGAAGAGTTCTCAGTAACTTTTTTGTGTTGTGTGTATTCAACTCACAGAGTTGAACCTTGCTTTAGAGAGAGCAGATTTGAAACACTCTTGCTGTGGCATTTTCAGGTGGAGATTTCAAGCGATTTGAGGACAATTGCAGAAAAGGAAATATCTTCGTATAATAACCAGACAGAATCATTCTCAGAAAGTGCTTTGTGATGTGTGCGTTCCACTCACAGAGTTTAACCTTTCTTTTCATAGAGGAGTTTGGAAACACACTGTTCGTAAAGTCTGCAAGTGGATATATGGACCTGTTTGAGGCCTTCGTTGGAAACGGGATTTCTTCATTGAATGCTAGACGGAAGAATTCTCAGTAAATTCTTTGTGTTGTGTGCATTCAACTCACAGAGTGGAACGTCCCTTTAGACAGAGCAGATTTGAAACACTCTTTTTGCGGAATTTGCAAGTGGAGATTTCTAGCCATTTGATGCCAACAGTAGAAAGGGAAATATCTTCAAATAAAAACCAGACAGAATCATTCTCAGAAATTTCTTTGTGATGTGTGCGTTCAACTCACATAGTTTAACCTTTCTTTTCATAGAGCAGTTTGGGAACACTCTGTTGGTAATGTCTGCAAGTGGATATATGGACCGCTTTGAGGCCTTCGTTGGAAACGGGATTTCTTCATTTCATGCTAGACAGAAGAATTCTCAGTAACTTCTTTGTGCTGTGTGTATTCAACTCACAGAGTGGAACGTCCCTTTACACAGAGCAGATTTGAAACACTCTTTTTGTGGAGTTTGCAAGTGGAGATTTCAAGCGATTTGATGCCAACAGTAGAAAATGAAATATCTGCAAACAAAAACTAGACAGAATCATTCTCAGAAACTACTTTGTGATGTGTGCCTTCAACTCACAGAGTTTAACCTTTCTTTTCTTAGAGCAGTTTAGAAACACTCTGCTTGTTATGTCTGCAAGTGGATATTTGGACCTCTTTGAGGCCTTCGTTGCAAACGGGGTTTCTTCCTTTCATGCTAGACTAAGAAGAGTTCTCAGTAACTTTTTTGTGTTGTGTGTATTCAACTCACAGAGTTGAACCTTGCTTTAGAGAGAGCAGATTTGAAACACTCTTGCTGTGGCATTTTCAGGTGGAGATTTCAAGCGATTTGAGGACAATTGCAGAAAAGGAAATATCTTCGTATAATAACCAGACAGAATCATTCTCAGAAAGTGCTTTGTGATGTGTGCGTTCAACTCACAGAGTTTAACCTTTCTTTTCATAGAGGAGTTTGGAAACACACTGTTTGTAAAGTCTGCAAGTGGATATATGGACCTGTTTGAGGCCTTCGTTGGAAACGGGATTTCTTCATTGAATGCTAGACGGAAGAATTCTCAGTAAATTCTTTGTGTTGTGTGCATTCAACTCACAGAGTGGAACGTCCCTTTAGACAGAGCAGATTTGAAACACTCTTTTTGCGGAATTTGCAAGTGGAGATTTCTAGCCATTTGATGCCAACAGTAGAAAGGGAAATATCTTCAAATAAAAACCAGACAGAATCATTCTCAGAAAATTCTTTGTGATGTGTGCGTTCAAATCACATAGTTTAACCTTTCTTTTCATAGAGCAGTTTGGAAACACTCTGTTTGTAAAGTCTGCAAGTGGATATATGGACCGCATTGAGGCCTTCGTTGGAAACGGGATTTCTCCATTTCATGCTAGACAGAAGAATCTCTCAGTAACTTCTTTGTGCTGTGTGTATTCAACTCACAGAGTGGAACGTCCCTTTGCACAGAGCAGATTTGAAACACTCTTTTTGTGGAGTTTGCAAGTGGAGATTTCAAGCGATTTGATGCCAACAGTAGAGAAGGAAATATCTTCAAATAAAAACTAGACACAATCATTCTCAGAAACTACTTTGTGATGTGTGCCTTCAACTCACAGAGTTCAACCTTTCTTTTCTTAGAGCAGTTTAGAAACACTCTGCTTGTTATGTCTGCAAGTGGATATTTGGACCTCTTTGAGGCCTTCGTTGCAAACGGGGTTTCTTCCTTTCATACTAGACTAAGAAGAGTTCTCAGTAACTTTTTTGTGTTGTGTGTATTCAACTCACAGAGTTGAAACTTGCTTTAGAGAGAGCAGATTTGAAACACTCTTGCTGTGGCATTTTCAGGTGGAGATTTCAAGCGATTTGAGGACAATTGCAGAAAAGGAAATATCTTCGTATAATAACCAGACAGAATCATTCTCAGAAAGTGCTTTGTGATGTGTGCGTTCAACTCACAGAGTTTAACCTTTCTTTTCATAGAGGAGTTTGGAAACACACTGTTTGTAAAGTCTGCAAGTGGATATATGGACCTGTTTGAGGCCTTCGTTGGAAACGGGATTTCTTCATTGAATGCTAGACGGAAGAATTCTCAGTAAATTCTTTGTGTTGTGTGCATTCAACTCACAGAGTGGAACGTCCCTTTAGACAGAGCAGATTTGAAACACTCTTTTTGCGGAATTTGCAAGTGGAGATTTCTAGCC
The DNA here is from genome assembly GCF_000001405.40 of Homo sapiens. NCBI lineage: Eukaryota > Metazoa > Chordata > Mammalia > Primates > Hominidae > Homo > Homo sapiens. Next base: position 58,751,936 of record NC_000007.14, read on the forward strand.
ATTTGATGCCAACAGTAGAAAGGGAAATATCTTCAAATAAAAACCAGACAGAATCATTCTCAGAAAATTCTTTGTGATGTGTGCGTTCAACTCACATAGTTTAACCTTTCTTTTCATAGAGCAGTTTGGAAACACTCTGTTTGTAAAGTCTGCAAGTGGATATATGGACCGCATTGAGGCCTTCGTTGGAAACGGGATTTCTTCATTTCATGCTAGACAGAGGAATTCTCAGTAACTTCTTTGTGCTGTGTGTATTCAACTCACAGAGTGGAACGTCCCTTTGCACAGAGCAGATTTGAAACACTCTTTTTGTGGAGTTTGCAAGTGGAGATTTCAAGCGATTTGATGCCAACAGTAGAAAAGGAAATATCTTCAAATAAAAACTAGACAGAATCATTCTCAGAAACTACTTTGTGATGTGTGCCTTTAACTCACAGAGTTTAACCTTTCTTTTCTTAGAGCAGTTTAGAAACACTCTGCTTGTTATGTCTGCAAGTGGATATTTGGACCTCTTTGAGGCCTTCGTTGCAAACGGGGTTTCTTCCTTTAATGCTAGACTAAGAAGAGTTCTCAGTAACTTTTTTGTGTTGTGTGTATTCAACTCACAGAGTTGAACCTTGCTTTAGAGAGAGCAGATTTGAAACACTCTTGCTGTGGCATTTTCAGGTGGAGATTTCAAGCGATTTGAGGACAATTGCAGAAAAGGAAATATCTTCGTATAATAACCAGACAGAATCATTCTCAGAAAGTGCTTTGTGATGTGTGCGTTCAACTCACAGAGTTTAACCTTTCTTTTCATAGAGGAGTTTGGAAAGACACTGTTTGTAAAGTCTGCAATTGGATATATGGACCTGTTTGAGGCCTTCGTTGGAAACGGGATTTCTTCATTGAATGCTAGACGGAAGAATTCTCAGTAAATTCTTTGTGTGGTGTGCATTCAACTCACAGAGTGGAACGTCCCTTTAGACAGAGCAGATTTGAAACACTCTTTTTGCGGAATTTGCAAGTGGAGATTTCTAGCCATTTGATGCCAACAGTAGAAAGGGAAATATGCTTCAAATAAAAACCAGACAGAATAATTCTCAGAAAGTGCTTTGTGATGTGTGCGTTCAACTCACAGAGTTTAACCTTTCTTTTCATAGAGGAGTTTGGAAACACACTGTTTGTAAAGTCTGCAAGTGGATATATGGACCGCATTGAGGCCTTCGTTGGAAACGGGATTTCTTCATTTCATGCTAGACAGAAGAATTCTCAGTAACTTCTTTGTGCTGTGTGTATTCAACTCACAGAGTGGAACGTCCCTTTGCACAGAGCAGATTTGAAACACTCTTTTTGTGGAGTTTGCAAGTGGAGATTTCAAGCGATTTGATGCCAACAGTAGAAAAGGAAATATCTTCAAATAAAAACTAGACAGAATCATTCTCAGAAACTACTTTGTGATGTGTGCCTTCAACTCACAGAGTTTAACCTTTCTTTTCTTAGAGCAGTTTAGAAACACTCTGCTTGTTATGTCTGCAAGTGGATATTTGGACCTCTTTGAGGCCTTCGTTGCAAACGGGGTTTCTTCCTTTAATGCTAGACTAAGAAGAGTTCTCAGTAACTTTTTTGTGTTGTGTGTATTCAACTCACAGAGTTGAACCTTGCTTTAGAGAGAGCAGATTTGAAACACTCTTGCTGTGGTATTTTCAGGTGGAGATTTCAAGCGATTTGAGGACAATTGCAGAAAAGGAAATATCTTCGTATAACAACCAGACAGAATCATTCTCAGAAAGTGCTTTGTGATGTGTGCGTTCCACTCACAGAGTTTAACCTTTCTTTTCATAGAGGAGTTTGGAAACACACTGTTTGTAAAGTCTGCAAGTGGATATATGGACCTGTTTGAGGCCTTCGTTGGAAACGGGATTTCTTCATTGAATGCTAGACGGAAGAATTCTCAGTAAATTCTTTGTGTTGTGTGCATTCAACTCACAGAGTGGAACGTCCCTTTAGACAGAGCAGATTTGAAACACTCTTTTTGCGGAATTTGCAAGTGGAGATTTCTAGCCATTTGATGCCAACAGTAGAAAGGGAAATATCTTCAAATAAAAACCAGACAGAATCATTCTCAGAAAATTCTTTGTGATGTGTGCGTTCAACTCACATAGTTTAACCTTTCTTTTCATAGAGCAGTTTGGAAACACTCTGTTTGTAAAGTCTGCAAGTGGATATATGGACCGCATTGAGGCCTTTGTTGGAAACGGGATTTCTTCATTTCATGCTAGACAGAAGAATTCTCAGTAACTTCTTTGTGCTGTGTGTATTCAACTCACAGAGTGGAACGTCCCTTTACACAGAGCAGATTTGAAACACTCTTTTTGTGGAGTTTGCAAGTGGAGATTTCAAGCGATTTGATGCCAACAGTAGAAAAAGGAAATATCTTCAAATAAAAACTAGACAGAATCATTCTCAGAAACTACTTTGTGATGTGTGCCTTCAACTCACAGAGTTTAACCTTTCTTTTCTTAGAGCAGTTTAGAAACACTCTGCTTGTTATGTCTGCAAGTGGATATTTGGACCTCTTTGAGGCCTTCGTTGCAAACGGGGTTTCTTCCTTTCATGCTAGACTAAGAAGAGTTCTCAGTAACTTTTTTGTGTTGTGTGTATTCAACTCACAGAGTTGAACCTTGCTTTAGAGAGAGCAGATTTGAAACACTCTTGCTGTGGCATTTTCAGGTGGAGATTTCAAGCGATTTGAGGACAATTGCAGAAAAGGAAATATCTTCGTATAACAACCAGACAGAATCATTCTCATAAAGTGCTTTGTGATGTGTGCGTTCCACTCACAGAGTTTAACCTTTCTTTTCATAGAGGAGTTTGGAAACACACTGTTTGTAAAGTCTGCAAGTGGATATATGGACCTGTTTGAGGCCTTCGTTGGAAACGGGATTTCTTCATTGAATGCTAGACGGAAGGATTCTCAGTAAATTCTTTGTGTTGTGTGCATTCAACTCACAGAGTGGAACGTCCCTTTAGACAGAGCAGATTTGAAACACTCTTTTTGCGGAATTTGCAAGTGGAGATTTCTAGCCATTTGATGCCAACAGTAGAAAGGGAAATATCTTCAAATAAAAACCAGACAGAATCATTCTCAGAAAATTCTTTGTGATGTGTGCGTTCAACTCACATAGTTTAACCTTTCTTTTCATAGAGCAGTTTGGAAACACTCTGTTTGTAAAGTCTGCAAGTGGATATATGGACCGCATTGAGGCCTTCGTTGGAAACGGGATTTCTTCATTTCATACTAGACAGAAGAATTCTCAGTAACTTCTTTGTGCTGTGTGTATTCAACTCACAGAGTGGAACATCCCTTTGCACAGAGCAGATTTGAAACACTCTTTTTGTGGAGTTTGCAAGTGGAGATTTCAAGCGATTTGATGCCAACAGTAGAAAAGGAAATATCTTCAAATAAAAACTAGACAGAATCATTCTCAGAAACTACTTTGTGATGTGTGCCTTCAACTCACAGAGTTTAACCTTTCTTTTCTGAGAGCAGTTTAGAAACACTCTGCTTGTTATGTCTGCAAGTGGATATTTGGACCTCTTTGAGGCCTTCGTTGCAAACGGGGTTTCTTCCTTTCATGCTAGACTAAGAAGAGTTCTCAGTAACTTTTTTGTGTTGTGTGTATTCAACTCACAGAGTTGAACCTTGCTTTAGAGAGAGCAGATTTGAAACACTCTTGCTGTGGCATTTTCAGGTGGAGATTTCAAGCGATTTGAGGACAATTGCAGAAAAGGAAATATCTTCGTATAATAACCAGACAGAATCATTCTCAGAAAGTGCTTTGTGATGTGTGCGTTCAACTCACAGAGTTTAACCTTTCTTTTCATAGAGGAGTTTGGAAACACACTGTTTGTAAAGTCTGCAATTGGATATATGGACCTGTTTGAGGCCTTCGTTGGAAACGGGATTTCTTCATTGAATGCTAGACGGAAGAATTCTCAGTAAATTCTTTGTGTTGTGTGCATTCAACTCACAGAGTGGAACGTCCCTTTAGACAGAGCAGATTTGAAACACTCTTTTTGCGGAATTTGCAAGTGGAGATTTCTAGCCATTTGATGCCAACAGTAGAAAGGGAAATATCTTCAAATAAAAACCAGACAGAATCATTCTCAGAAAATTCTTTGTGATGTGTGCGTTCAACTCACATAGTTTAACCTTTCTTTTCATAGAGCAGTTTGGAAACACTCTGTTTGTAAAGTCTGCAAGTGGATATATGGACCGCATTGAGGCCTTCGTTGGAAACGGGATTTCTTCATTTCATGCTAGACAGAAGAATTCTCAGTAACTTCTTTGTGCTGTGTGTATTCAACTCACAGAGTGGAACGTCCCTTTGCACAGAGCAGATTTGAAACACTCTTTTTGTGGAATTTGCAAGTGCAGATTTTAAGCGATTTGATGCCAACAGTAGAAAAGGAAATATCTTCAAATAAAAACTAGACAGA